>NC_000006.12:8999393-9150909 GCF_000001405.40 Homo sapiens
TTCAGAGTCCATAGGCCTGGAAAATTATGCTATCCCACAATAAACTGGTAAATACATTAATGGCAGACTACTGGTTTTTTTCCTATTTGAGTAGCATGTATTCTTAACACAAATAGACTTGTATCCTGAAGCAGCAATAAAATTTAAACGAGTCAGGCACTGATAAAGTAATAGGCAATGTCTAAATATCATTATTGTTATTAGAGCAAAAAAAAAAGATGTCAGTATTTCTCCAGGGTAAATGTTTTCCATTAAACATTTAATGGAAAGAAATGTTAATCATTTCTTATTCCCTTGCACCCACCTTTAATTAATTGATACGCTACATTTTTTCACGCATGTCTTTCATACTTTTGAAGCATTTTCTTTGTCAAAATTAGAGTTAAAATTCTAAAAAAAAATTCTTGTCAAAGAAGTGGACTTTGCTTAATATTGCTTTATTATACGAGGTACAAATCCATTTTGGCTAAGGCATATGAGCAACCTATAATAATAGAACACATTAGGGCACTTTTCAGATAGATTTATACAACTATATGAAAATTTTGAAATAATAGAACACCTAGAAGAAAATTTTGGAAACTTTCATCTAATCTCACAAAGAGATCATAAAAGTGAGTAGAGATCTCTTAATAAAAATTTCAATACGTTTTCTTATATATATTTCAAAGTAACAGATTTCTAAACACAATATATACATAAATAAAATTGTGAAGAAAGCCAAAAAAATGAAGAAAGTATTTTCAAGTCCTAAAAAGCAAAGCGTTTTTAAAAATTTTTTATTTTAAATTCAGGGATACATATGCAGGTTTGTTACATAGGTAAATGTGTATCATGGGGGTTGGTATACAGATTATTTCATCACCAGGTATTAAGCCTAGAATCCATTAGTTATATTTTCTGATCCTCTCCCTCCTCCCATTCTCCACCCTCAAATAGGCCCAGTGTGTGTTGTTTCCCTCTATGTGTCCATTTGTTCTCATCATTTAGCTCCTGCTTATGTGTAAGAACATGTGGTATTTGGTTTTCTGGTTCCTGTGTTAGTTTGCTAAGGATAATGGCCTCCAGCTTCATCCATGTCCCTGCAAAGGGCATGATCCTGTTCATTTTTATGGATGCATAGTATTAAATGGTGTATATGTACCACATTTTCTTTATCCAGTCTATCATTGATGGGCATTTAGGTTGTTTCCATGTTTTTGTTATTGTGAATAACATTGCAATGAACATGTGCATGGATGTGTCTGTATGATGGAATGATTTGTATTCCTTTGGGTATATACCCAGTAATGGGATTGCTGGTCGAATGGCATTTTTGTCTTTAGGTATTTGAGGAACTGCCACACTGTCTTCCACAGTGGTTGAACTAATTTACACTCCCACTAACAGTGTATAAGCATTCCTTTTTCTCCACAATCTTGCGAGCATCTCTTATTTTTTGACTTTTTAATAATAGCCATTCTGACTGGTGTGAAATGGCATCTCATTGTGATTTTGATTTGGATTTTTCTAATGATCAGTGAGGTTGAGCTTTTTAGCATATAACTGTTGGCCGCATGTATGTCTTCTTTTGAAAAATATCTGTTTGTGTGCTTTGCCCACTTTTTTATGGGGTTGTTTGTTTGTTCCTTATAAATTTGTTTAAGTTCCTTACAGATGCTGGATATTAGATCTTTGTTGAATGCATAGTTTGCAAAAATTTTCTCCCAGTCTGTAGTTTGTTTACTCTGTTGATAGTTTCTTTTGCTGTGCAGAAGCTGTTTAGTTTAATTAGATCCCATTTGTCAATTTTTGCTTTTGTTGTAATTGCTTTTGGCATCTTTGGCATCTTTGTCATGAAATCTTTCCCATGCCTGTGTCCTCTTCCAGGGCTGCCTGGGACCAGGACTGCCTAGGTCGTCTTCCAGGGTTTTTATAGTTTTAGGTTTCACATGTAGGTGTTTAACATAATTTTAGTTAATTTTTGTCTATGGTATAAGAAAGGGGTCCAATTTTAATCTTCTGCATACGGCTAGTCAGTTATCCTAGCACCATTTATTATCAAAGATCAGATAGTTGTAGGTGTGCAGTCTTATTTCTGGGCTCTCTATTCCGTTCCATTGGTCTATGTATATCTGGTTTTGTACCAGTACCAAGCTGTTTTGTTTACTGTAGCCCTGTAGTGTAGTTTAAAGTCAGGTAGCATGATGTCTCCAGCTTTGTTCTTTTAGAGCAAAATTTAAAAAAAAAATTAAAGCCCAAATCTAATCACAATGAGAAAAGAACACATATCTTTTGTGAAATAAAATATGTAAATGTGCAATAAACAAGAAAGATTCAACACTAGTAATAAAACATTTGCAAAACAATATAATTTTTTAATTGCAGATCAAACCATAGAGTCTTATATGATAGCAACAAGTGGCATGTGAGTAAAAGGAAATACAAATCTTTGTATGCCCACCTTTCTGGAAGGAATATATGTTTAAAGTTTAAAATAGTTTACATCGGTTGATTCAGTAGTTCCAATTCTAGACTGTATGTGACATATATGTTAAAACATTGATATGACTTGGATCTGTGTCCCCACCCAAATCTCATGTAGAATTATAATCCTTAGTGTTGGAGGTGGAGCCTGGTGGGAGGTGACTGGATTGTGGGGGTGGTTTTTCCAGAATGGTTTCTCACCATCCCCTGTTGGTACTGTATAGTGAGTGAGTTCTTATGAGATACGGTTGTTTAAAAGTGTGTAGCACCTCCCCGTTCTCTCTCTTTTTCCTGCTTCTGCCATGTAAGATACCTGCTCCCACTTTGCCTTCTGCAATGAGTAAAAGCTCCCTGAGGCCTCCCCAGAAGCAGATACTGTCATGCTTCTTGTACAGAATTGTGAGCCAATTAAACCTTTTTTCTTTATAAATTACCTAGCCTCAGATATTTTTTATAGTAATGTGAGAATGGACTAATACAAACATAGACAAACATTTCATTATTACCTCATTTATAGTATAGAGAAATTAGAAATAGACTAAATACCCAACCTTAGAACCCAATTAAATGAAGTATCATTAATTAAATGGGATGTAGAGAAAATGCTCATAATAAAAAGTTAAATAGGAAAACAATATACAAAAATAATCTTTTAGTAGATAAACTGTGTAAAATTGTATATTTTTAATTTATATTTTAATGGTACAATTAAGGATGATTTTTAATTTATTCTTTATGCCATGTGATTATTTTCTATGTCTCTAAATATCTATTGCTGTAATAGTCAGCCATTAATAATCAATGTTATTTCAAGAGAGAAATCCAGAAAGAAGAAGCTATTTCAACACAGGTTTAGTATTTCAAAAGTTGGATTCATGGTATAATTTCAGGTCTTTTTAATTTAACATGTTTCTAACCTCTGCAAATCATTGCTATCAGAGTAATTGCATATTTACCCCAAACAGAGCAATAAACGCGTTCAAGTTCATAAGGCAGCTGTGTAGACATGAAACTCCATAATATTGTAATAATCAGGTTAGCTGGAGTTGATCTTATCAACCATCTACACATAAACGAGTCTCACAGTAATATTCTCATGCACATGATATATTGTATAAAAACTATTGTGATGTGTTGCTATGGTACCTGGGAGATCCTTATAGATTCGAGTTCCATACTCTGGCTCGTTTGGGCATGTTTTAGGCATTCACAAATGAAAGGAGGGAGAGTTTCTGTGCACACCCACAAGGTTTCTGGAGTCCTCCCTCCAGTTGGATAGATAGCAAATAAATTTTCAAAGTATCCCTGTTTAAACATGGTCATATATTTATGCTGCATGGATACGGGATCCAACTTTCACAGTGCAGAAGTTTAAAAATATTAAACACCAAGGAAAAACATATTTAAAAGAAAAGAAAAAGGAAGAAATAAAATGAAAAGAAACACAACTACAATTCTCACCTCCTGTATTTTCACTTGTTCACAACAATAAAACACCAATAAAACAGTTTCTCTGTCATTTGGCATTAGTGTCTACTTAGTGATCAGAGATCTTAGACAGCCCTACAGCAGTGAGTGATGGGTGGGGAGAGAGACAGATAGATTTCACTGTAAAGCTGGAACAAAGACTAGCTCCAGAATTCAAAGGTTGAATTCCTGTTCTGGTTAGAGATAAAAGAACAGATTCTTGAGTAGCTATTCTCACTTGAAAAAAGCCAGTGACTTTTCTGTGTATTTTTTTTATCTAAGAAGAAGAGCTAAAATATTTGTCTATTTGTCACCAATCAATTGTACAGGACTGCCTCTAATAATCTATTAAGTTTTTAAGGATTTCACCTATTTTGGACCAACAAGATAAAACGTTTTATTGGTCTTCTCTGGGTTTATCAGTTTCTTCTTTTACAGTGTTTTTCATCACTAGACCAGTGGATTACAAAATTATCAGTTTTGCAAATTTGGCTGGGATTTTGACATAGATTCCAACATACGGCTTATACTATGACAATAGGCAAAATAGAGAGAGGTTACCAAATGTATGAAAAGTATGACACTGATTGTTCTTTGCCATACATTAATTCTCTCTCCCTCTCTCTCCCCCTCCTCTTCCTCCCTCTCCCTCTTGACTCCACCAACCCGCACTAATGACCACATCTCGAATTTTGTCATTGTGTAAAAATATGTCCATGCTATCAATGCAAAGTCTGAAATTCTCACATCTGACCATGAACCATCATCTCTCTGACTTTCCCAATCCCTCACATTGACTGAAGTTTCCTCGGGTATTCTTTCAACTCTCTTGGTTACCCCCCTCTCCTGAGTGATGCTATTTCTTCCTCTCTAAGCTGGATATTGTGATCAATTGTGTCAGTATTCTCTCTGTTCCCTGACTCCCTTTAAATGTGCCCAGAGAAGGAAGGAAGTGATTGGCAGCTGAGGATTTTGGAAAGTTGTAAAAACAATGCTGAGAACAGGCATGGAAGTTGAGTGATATGGTTTGGTTCAGTGTCCCCACCCAAATCTGATTTCAAATTGTAATCCCCAATGTTTGGGGAGGGACCAGATGGGAAGTGATTGGATGATGAGGATGGATTTCCCCCTTGCTGTTCTGGTGATAGGGTGATAGCGAGTGAATTCTCACAAGATCTAGTTTTTGAAAGTGTGTAGCATCTCCCCCTTTGCTCTCTGTCTTCCTCCGGTTCTGACCATGGGAAGATGTGTCTCTTTCCTCTTTGTCTTCTGCCATGATTGTAAGTTTTAAGAGGTCTTCCCAGCCATGCTTCCTGTACAGCCTGTAAAACCATGAGCCAATTAAACCTCTTTTCTTTATAAATTACCCAGTCTCAGGTATTTATTTATAGCAGAGAAAGGACTAATACACTGAGATTGAAGAGTAACCTGACGAATGAGTTCGGGTTAGAGGCTGAGATTCAGGCAGAACATGCCAGAACATTATTGTTTTGGTAATTCTTATTCTTTTGGCTGCCTGCCTGTGGATGTTAGGAATTGAGTGGTTAAAGACTCAGACAACCACTGACTATCCAGAAGAAAACTCATTACTCAGCTTGGTTTTCCCACAATTCCAAGCTCCCTATGTTCAGGCAACCTGCTGGCCTTTTCTGGCCATCTTGTTATTCACATATGTTTACACCCTCTTGAATGTTTCCTCCCAGAGCTCTTTAAAATATAGTCTGGTTCACTACAGCCCCTGCTTTCCTTGTTACAGACATTGTTACTTCTCACTTCAATGAGAAGATAAAAGCCATTTGAGAGAAACTGCTCTATTTTATTCCTCATCAACCCCTGTGTCTCTGAAGAACAGCACCAGTAAGCCCCTGATCTCCCCTCCATCCCTTCTCTTTTGGAGGATATTTCTTCATCTACTTTTGTATACAATCACAACATTTCCCTTTCTAATGGAAACTTTCTCACCACTAGACAAAGGGTTAGTTTCCCCATCCCCTATGTTTACATATCCATGCTACTCTTTTTTTTTCTTCAGGTTTACTTTATCCGTCTCGTTTTCTTCAACATGAAACTTAAGAGTAGATTCTACTCACTGCTTCTTTCCCTTCTTCATCTTGTATTTAACACAAAGCCACTATCATCAGGCTTTCAACACTACCCTCTACCTCCGCAGTCTCCTATGACTCAGATGACATAGCCCATTTATACCTGTTGTCCCAGTGTATTTATTACTAACACCTTAGAGCTGTCCTGATTTGGGCAATAAATTATATGGTCCCTCTACCAACCTTACACTTTCGTGGAAATGGTGAGGTACTAAGAAATTTTGAACATGTAATTAAATGTATAATAAATGCAGAGTTACAAACTCTAATAAGCACTATGACAGGGCAATACCTGGTGCTGTTGCTGTCATAGCACAGAGCAGGGGGAGATGGCATTGTTGAGAGCAGAGTTTCTCAACTTCAGCACAAATGAATATTTGAGGCTGTGTCATTCATTACTGTGGGGGTTGTAGTGTCCATTGTAGAATGTTTAGCAGCACCCCTGGCCATACTAGTAGGTGCTGGTTGGGTGTCTGACTCCCCTTCCTAATGATCCCTTCCAGTATGGAAAACTAAAACTATCTGCAAACGTTACCAGTGTTCCCTGGGGAGCAAAATCACCTTCTGATTGAGAATGATTGGTTAAGAGGATTAGATAAGTGTTTCCAGAGGAAACAATATTTGAGCTGAAATATGATTAGGAAGTGCAATGAAGGAAGCAGTGCCTTCCCAGCTCCCCAGCCAGTGTAATAGCATCTTATAGTGGTATAAAAAGAGACATTGTATAGGTTTTGAAAACAGCAGAGGTGTTAGAAATTCATCACCAACATTTACAAGCTGTATGGTTTTTGATTAGGCACTCAATCTTTCTGAACCTTAGAATCATCTTCCATGAAATAGGGATATTAACACTATAGTGGAATAGTTATTTTTTATTGTTACCTCAAATATTCTCCTTCCCTCTTCCACAGCCCAGGTATAATGAAAAGATTTAATTCATGCTGAGGAAAGTGGTTACAGTAGAACCTGCAAATGCAGATGTTCAATTTTTGACTTCTAAGTTCTAGAAAACTATCCAGGAATAAGATAAAAACATATTTAAAAGAGTGCTTGAAGAGTTTGAACCAGTTTAAAAGAGTGCTTGAAGAATTTGAACGAGACCTTGTGGAAGGGAATGGGGGTCAAGTCTTTTTGAAGAGGAAGGCAAGAGGGAAGTCAATATGGGGTCTTCATACACCATTCTTGTATCATTAACCAACTCCTAGATGACATTCAGTGATTAGTAAGAGTTTTTTTTGTTTTTTTTTTGTTTTTTTTTTCACTGAACACCTACTCTGGAGATGTCCAGGTGAGCAGAAGAAGACAGAGACCCTGCCTTCAGAGAGCTTACATTTAAGCATAGACAGGAGCTGGATCTCACTTCCTAGAGTGTCCCTTTGGAAGTCCACTAGCCTTGGTGGGCAGGGCAGTTGCCTGGAGCCATCTTGGAGCAGCACAGCAGAAATGAGCAGTGAGCCCAAGATGCAAATTTCCTGCTGTTGCAGAGCGGTGTGTGATTTCTCATGGGCTCCAGGCACTGAAATTTTCTGATGTGAGACAGGTCAGGGAAGAGACTCAGTCCTGGCAGACACAAGACAAGGTCACTAAGATCCCAATGGGCCTCACATGTCCGCCATGTTCCATCCCATGTTTTCTTGCCTCCCTTAACAGGCTGACCCAAGTTATGTAGCAGAAAGGAGGCCTCTCTCAACTTAGCTGACCAGCCTGAATTCCTAACCATAAAAAGAAGAACCTCACCATTTATCTCCTTGAAGTCGTGTCTTCCAAGGCTGTTGAAGCAGAACTCTAGCATTCCTTAAGGACTTCATCATCTTTCAAGGTTGCTAAAGGGAGACTTTGGTGTTTCTGATAAGAACCGAACCAGATGCAGCCAGCTGAAGATAAGATGGACTCTAGAACTGACCTTTCATCAACTTTTTTTCTTATTATAATACTAAAATCTCTGCCAAAGGTGGAGCTAATCTGCCGCTCTCAGATCACTCTATGTCAGTTAGGGCGTAATGTCTCATTGCACAAGCTCTAAGAAAACCCCTAAACATGCTTGCACATCACTCCTTTTTCTGCCTCTACTTCTTTAAGATGACTAGAGCTGGGCCCTTTGGGGAAGGAGCATCAGGACCCCTCCCCTGTATGCTGCTCCCTGGCACATCTCCAGTCGCAAGCCTATTAAACCTTGCCTAGGAAAATTGGTTTGTCCTGGAGCTAATTTTTACTTAGAGAGAGCCAAGGAACTTGAGGTCCAGTTGCAACAACAAATAAGCAAGTCAGTGGACCTTCCTGGATTCTCACAGCCTGCGTGGAAGAACATACTTCCTAGGATGCAGTGTGAACAGTCATCACTGGTAGTCATGAAGGGTATGACTGACATCTCTGTGGACGTCCCATTTCCAGGGAGCAGGTGGGAGCTGCGTCACTTCCATCTGTTAGCCAGGGGACCTGCCAAAGGTGCATCCTCCAGGATGTGGCATGTGGTGGGTCTGAGCCGAGGTCCAGCTGCTGAGGGCAGCCACTGAAATAGCCAGCATAGACCTTGAGCAGGCTACATCAGTAAATAGATGGATCCCAATTCAGTGGATTTGTATTGCAGCTGGATAGCCTCCTCACCCCTCTCTCCCCACCCCACACTTTGCATATAAGCTCATCAACACCCCCATGAGAAATGGGAGAAATAACCCGTGATGCTGGAACATAAAGGTTAAGTTTTGTACCTTTTAAACCTGTGACAGGAGTTCTTATAAAAAAAAGATAATGTACACCTATCCCTCACCTAATGGCTTTTATTTGTACCTGAAAGCTCTGTCATTAAGTGCAAAGCCAGTAAACAAAAGACAAATATAATTTGTTTTTTTGAGATGGAGTTTTGCTCTCCCCACCCAGGCTGGAGTACACTGGCACGATCTCGGCTCACTGCAACCTCCACCTCCCAGGTTCAAGCAATTCTCCTGCCTCAGCCTCCTGAGCAGCTGGAATTACAGGTGTGCGCCACCATGCCCAGCTAATTTTTGTATTTTCAGTAGAGTCAGGGTTTCACCATGTTGCCCAGGCTGGTCTCAAACTCCTGACCTCAGGTCATCCACCCTCCTCAGCCTCCCAAAGTGCTGGGATTACAGGCATGAGCCAGCTCGCCCGGCCAACAAATAGAATTTTTTAAAATGCGGTATTTTATACAAAAAAATTGTGGCATAATCCATCCTAACCTTAGGCTCCCAATGATTTTCATATATAGAAAAATATATCAATTAAACAACCAAAATACATTGTATACGCTGTTTGAAAGTAAGTAAAGTTTACGTATATAACATAACATAATGAAAGTTTGTGATACTCTTTTTTTTCTTCTTTCAGCATTCTCTATCTACTTTTCAATCTTTGTGAGGCTCTTGGTATGTTGCACTAAAACTACACTTGAAAAGAAAGAGCATAAAAAACATCCTTAGGGCAAAATAAAGGATGAACGAGAGAGCACTTTGAAAGAAGTGGAAATTGTACAATCATACAATATACCTTAGAGTCCAGAAGATGCAGCTGTCCTCCTCACTCTCAGGGCACATTTGCAAGCAACACATTTGCCCAAACACTGGTGGACAATTCAAAGTTGTTTCATATAGTTTTTCATTCTAGAAACTATTGTGTAAGGGAAATTAGTAAATGTGTTTTTGCCCAAAACTGAAACATTAGAAGTATTACTTGTCACTATCATTTATTTAGGGAGTATGACTGTTGTTATTATTACTTTATTTTATTTTTGAGTCGGAGTTTCACTCTTGTTGCCCAGGCTGGAGTGCAATGGTGCGATCTCTGCTCACTGCAACCTCCACCTCCTGGGTTCAAGAGATCCTCCTGCCTCAGCCTCCCAAGTAGCTGGGATTACAGTTGTCCGCCACTACCCCCAGCTAATGTTTGTATTTTTAGTAGAGACAGAGTTTCACCATGTTGGCCAGGCTGGTCTCGATCTCCTGACCTCAGGTGATCCATCTGCCTCGGCCTCCCAAAGTGCTGGGATTACAGGCATGCACCACTGCTCCCAGCCGATTTTTTTAAAGGTCTGAAAAGTGATATAATCTTTCTTTTAAGGTGAAAATATTGTGTTAAAAGAAAGACCTTAGACAAATTACATTTAACAGAATTTAACAAAGCCAAAAGCACAATTCATGAATTGGGCAGTTCCTAAACCAGAATAGGCTCAGTGAGACTTTGCCGCTGCCACGTGGTCTAAGTAGATTTATAGACAGTAAAAGGAAAGCAGTGCACAGAACATGGAAGTGAGGTACAGAAACAGCTGAATTGGTTACAGCTCAGCATTTGCCTTATTTGAACACAGTTTGAACAGTTGCTGTTGCCTGCCTGCAACTGGCTGAACTCTGTGGTTGGTAGGAGAATAAGTTACAGAAAGTTTACACATCCAGTTAGGTTACCTTTATAGTTCTCTGTGTATGGAGAAATCTTTAGGCTAGACTTAAAATATATTAGGAGGCAGGTTTAGACTAAACAATTAAATAGGTGTTAAAGTCTTTATTTAAGGTGAGTCTATATACCATATGCATGATACATAGGAGACACTCTATAATAGTATTTGTTATTATTGTTTTCCTCCTGTCCTTGAGATTCCCCGACCCCCTTTCTTTCTAATCTACACTCTTTACCAGTGAGACCTCAATCATGTCCATGACCTGCTCTCTGTTAATGACTCTGGTTTTCAAATTTCCTACTTCCTGGTGCTTCGAGTTAAGCAATAACTCAATGATTTTTTTTTTTTTTTTTGAGATGAGTTGCATTCTGTCACTCACCACCCAGGCTGGAGTGCAGTGGCCAGATCTCGGCTCACTGCAACCTCCATCTCCTGGGTTCAAGCAATTGTCCTGCCTCAGCCTCCCGAGTTGCTGGGACTACAGGTACGCGCCACCATGCCCAGCTAATTTTTGTATTTTTAGTAGAGACAGGGTTTCGCCATGTTGGCCAAGCTGGTCTCAAACTCCTGACCTCAGGTGATCCACCTGTCTCAGCCTAATTCAATGATTTTTAATATATAATTTTTTACTCCACCAAAATTTCCCTTCCTCCTTGCACTAAAGGCATCAAATTTCATCCAAAAAATGAGACTAGTCATCTTGGAGTCATCTTCTACCTCCTTCCTTTTATCTCCCTTGATCAATTGGATTATTTCACTTTTTGATGCCTCAGTTCATCTTTTGAAAGCCACGAGTAACAGTAGTTATTGTTTATATCTTTATGACCTATCTGATAGATCATAAAGATTAAATGAGTACATGCATTAAAAAACAAAAACTTCAGCACAGTGTGCAGGCAGATAGCCCTTATTAATATGTCACGTCCTCTCCTCCTTTCCACCCCTGTTGACTAAACAGATACTAGAAAAGCAGATTTTGAGAATTGTCTATTTATATCCTTAGCCCACTTTTTGACGGGATTGTTTGTTTTTTTCTTAGTGATTTGTCTGAGTTCATTGTAGAATACAAATGGCCAAGAAACACATGAAAAAATGCCCAACATCACTAACGATCAGGGAAATGCAAATCAAAACCACAATGCAATACCACCTTATTCCTGCAAGAATGGCCATAATGAATAAATAAAAAATACAGTAGATGTTGGTGTGGATGCGGTGAACAGGGAACACTTCTACACTGCTGGTGGGAATGTAAATTGGTACAGCCACTGTGGAAAACAGTGTGGAGATTCCTTAATTAACAAAAAGTAGAATTCCCATTTGATCCAGCAATCCCACTACTGGGTATCTACTGAGAGAAAAAGAAGTCATTATTTGAAAAAGATACTTGCACATGCATGTTTATAGTAGCACAATTCACAATTGCAAAATCATGGAACCAACTCAAATACCCATCAATCAAAGAGTGGATAAAGAAACAGTGATATATCTCTATCTCTGTCTGTCTGTCTGTCTGTCTGTCTGTCTGTCTGTCTATGATGGAATACTACTCAGCCATAAAAAGGAATGAATTAACAGCATTTGCAATGACCTGGATGAGATTGGAGACTATTATTCTAAGTGAAGGAACTCAGGAATGGAAAACTCAATATTACATGTTCTCACTGATATGTGGGAGCTAAGCTATGAGGATGCAAAGGCATAAGAATGACACAATGGACTTTGGGGACTTGGGGAAAGAGTGGGAGGGGGACGAGGGATAAAAGGCAACAAATATGGTGTAGTGTATCCTGCTCGGGTGATGGGTGCACCAGGATCTCACAGATCACCACTAAATAACTTACTCATGTAACCAAATACCACCTGTACCCCAATAACTTATGGAAAAATAAAATAATAATGAAAGAAAAGCTGATTCTTTGAAAGGATCTTTTCCCAATCTACTTTTCAAACCCCAGACTTCTTTGTTTTTTGCAAAGTGAAAGCAAGTTTATTAAGAAAGTAAAGGAATAAAAGAATGGCTACTCCATAGACAGAGCAGCCTCAAGCCCCAGACTTCTAATAAACATTCCCATTCATTCTTTGTCTTTGTCAAAATGGACATCTTTCTGTCTCTGACCTTTTCTATTTCATTATTTCTGCTTCATACTCTTTTGAAATGCCCTTACCCTGGCTGTCAAAATCTTACTCAGTCTTTAGGGACAAAATAAATGCCACCTTTTCCAGGAAATTTGTTGAGGTTCAAGTCAGAATTCATTATGCTCTCCTTCACTAGAATTAAGCTTTATGTTGTTCTTTTTGGTTAATATTTATCACATTATTTTTTATAGTTAGTTGAATAAATGTGTTTTATCTAATAGATTATAAATTGCTTGCAGGAGCATTATATTTTAGACTTGAATTTTACCATTAACATCTATTATTATGGTGTCTTTCTTTTAGAAAAGACTCAATTAATATTTATTAAGTAGCATTATAATTATTTTTAGTGACTCTTGGCATAACACAAATTTTCTCAACTTTTAATTTTTATTAATAAAAGGAACTAATGAGAATTTTACACTTGATCTTAGCCAAAAGGCCGAAAAGCGATGAGAATTTTAGAATATCTGCATTGCATAGAAAGTTTGAAAAAATACAGAGGATAATAAAAAAGTATCATTGTTAAATAAATATTTGTATAAACAGGGTGTCTCAAAAGGCTTAGTACAATTTTAAGTTTTAATATTCTCATATATGTAAATGCTACAAATTAACAAAAGCATTACTTAAAAGTATGGTTATTTAAATCTCTTTAGATTATTAATTTGGTGAATATAGAATGATAAACTTCAATGTATGTTTTCAGTTCCTCTAATTAAGGAGAGCAAACATTAATTGAAGTAAAAAAATTAAAATTAAAAATATGTTATTTGCGGCCAGGCCCAGTGGCTCACACCTGTAATCCCAGCTCTTTGGGAGGCCGAGATGGGCGGATCATGAGGTCAGGAGATTGAGACCATCCTGGCTAACACGGTGAAACCCCATCTCTACTAAAAATACAAGCAAAAAAATTAGCCGGGCGTGGTGGTGGGCGCCTGTAGTCCCAGCTACTCGGGAGGCTGAGGCTGGAGAATGGCATGAACCTGGGAGGCAGAGCTTGTAGTGAGCTGAGATTGTGCCACTGCACTCCAGCCTGGGCGACACGAGAGACTCTGTCTCAAAAAAAAAAAAATAAATAAATAAATAAAAATATGTATATATATATATATATATATATACATACATATATGTATATATATATGTGTGTATATATATATATATACATATATATATATATACATATATATATATATATATATATATATGTTATTTGCCCCAGTAACAACAAGAACACCCAATATTCAGATCAGAATCTAATACTACTATCCAATAAAAAGAACCAGGGATCGAGGTAGAAATGAAATGACTGTTTCTAAGGCAGGAATAAGGAATATACCAGATAAGCTTGGAGCTTCTTGTAGTACCGGGAGATAGGGATGTACTAAAATAAAACCCAGTGATGGAGTGGGGTCAGGAGCATGTCAAAGAGACACAGAAGCCAATTGCAGAGCTCCCAATGGCCAAAGATGAACAACTTTGAGCAAGAAAATGAATATCATATCCAAAGTATAAAATAAATATTTATCATGCAAAAGAATTTCAGTTAATTTATGTGGATAGTCACCCCTCAAGAAAGTGGAGCATAAACTTCTCCTCCCGTAAGTGTGGGCTGTCTATAGTGATATCTTCCAAAGAGAGAGGTAAGGAAAGGGAAGAGGGGCAGGTAGTAACTTTACAGTGGAGAAACCTGACAAACACTACTTCAGTGACATGGTTGGATGGGATCCTGGAAAAGAAAAAGGAAATTAGGGAAAAAATAAGGAAATCTAAATACACTATGGACCCTAAGTAATAACAATGTATCAATATTGCTTCATCAGTGGTAACAAATATTCCGTACTAATTTAAGTTTCTAATATGGGACACTGGCTGTAGGGTATTCAGAATTCTCTGTATTAGTTTTGCAATTTTTCTGTAAATCTGAAGCTATTCTAAAATTAAACATTTGCTAAAAAATAAGAGGGTATTATAAAAATTACCAAAAAATGATAATTTAGACGAAGTGGACAATTCCTGGAAAAATACAAAGACTGCTTGCCTAACAAAAGCAACAACAAATGTATAATTCAAAATTCACAAAACTACAAAAAGTAAAATAAATAGTCATTTAAAAATGTAAAAACAATTGGTAGTACCTATTCTTCTGGGGCTATTAAAGCATAAAATTGCCTACAGACTTCTGTGGGTAATTTGTATTTATGTGCCCATAAACATATTAATAATATGAAAATGGCATAAAAATAAATATAGTTATGATAACGATGTATAATACATTTATTGGTTTATTGTTTTTTCCTTTAATATTTTCTCATGAACCCTATTCAATTGTACATTTCTCACAACAATTTAAAACAATGACAAGACTTCATTTTATTTGTTGATATTTTTATTCATTGTTAAATATTTAGAGTAACTATTTTTAAAATAATTTTGATAAAGTTTTCATAAATGTAATGATTCCCATCAATGACTTACTATTACCATTGTAGTGGTACTACAGTGTGTGGTCATTTCAGGTTTGTGATGCACATTGACAGCTTGTTTCCTGATGTTGTCCCAACTACATTCCTACTGGCAGAATATGAGTGAGCCAGTAGGGCAGGGTAAAAAATGCTCCTCACAGCTTGCAGTGAGCCGAGATCCCGCCACTGCACTCCAGCCTGGGCGACAGAGCGAGACTCCGTCTCAAAAAAAAAAAAAAAAAAAAAAAAAAAAAAAATGCTCCTCACCCTAAAGATACATATGTCCTAATTCCTAGAATCTGTCACTGTCACCTTTTGTGGAAAAATGGTCTTTACAGGTGTGATTAAGTCAACAATCTTGAGATGAGAAGATTATCCTACATTATACATGTGCTCACTAAAATAATCACAAGCTTCCTTACAAGAGGGAGGTAGAGGGAGACTTGACTTCAGACAGAAAAGGAGAAGGCAGTGTGACACAGAGGCAGAGACTGGAGTGATGTAGCCACAAGCCAAGCAATGTCGGCAGCTGACAAAAGATGGAAAGGGCGAGAATGAATTCTTTGCTAGAACCTCCAGCGCAAGTGTGTCCCTGCTCAAAAGACATCATTTTTCAGAGAGTTTACTTGTCATGATATTAAGTTTATCCATACATTTATGAAGAACTGACATCTTGACATGCTATGTCCCAATTTATTCAAACTTCCTTTCTTCTGAATCTATTTATAACATAGATAAGCGGATGCAGTAAGCCCAGGAAAAGCTAAAAATAAAGAAGTAATTTTAAAAAATAAGCAGGTTTGTGATGTTCTGATTTGGGAGGGATAGCCAGAGCTCAGTGAGATGAGAAAATCTTGGTAAAGAGAAATAGCCCTACGTAAGAAACTATGAAGTGCTGATGAGGACATTGGAACAGAATTGTAGTGGGAAATGCCTGGTCTTCCAGAGATGCAGGGTCACTGGTATTAGGAGTATCTCTCAGCAAATTTATAAACATTTATTAAAATAAAAATAAATCCATAAAAATGCATCTACTTCAGATGAAAATATTGGAAAAAGGGGGTGTGGGAGAAAAAAATGATTGATTGGCTTCTTACATCAAAGTTTATGAGCCTTAAGGGAACCAGTGTTGGGAGAATTGCAAGAGGGTGGCCTAGATCAAAGGGAGATTTGTTTTTATCCGTCAGTGACCTGGCGAAGAAATACTAATTACGACCATGAAGTAACTCCATGGTATATCTTGTGGCCCTGTGACTGTTTTTGAGAAGAGAAAGGAGGGCAGGGCAGCTGGCAAGGAGATTAAAGTCAGTAGAAAATAATAAATTGAATTTGTGAACTTTCTGAAAGTTAAATGAGAATAGAACAAAATGATTTTGCAATAATGGTTACAAAATGTCCTATAAATTAAACAGCAAAGTCACCATATTCCTTTCCTAGAAGAAGAAGTGCGAACACAAGGGTCTGGGGATAGGTAATTACAGTAAACACATGTGAATGATGCAGGGTTAAACTTTATTTATTTATTTATTTTTTAAATCTTACACCCCAAAAGGAAATGAAGTTTGCTGAGAATCAGTTGAAACTGGCAGAGCTCTGGCACTTTGGAGATCATTAATGGCCATCTCCCAGCTTACAACACCCTCTGATCTGATGATGCTGCCCAAGCTGTGCCCAGGAGAGCAATGCTTTTAGTTTCTTTCAGCCTAATTATGAAGGTGCCTGGCCCATGCAGTGAAGTAATATAATGGATAATAAAGCTCCCCGAGAGTCCTGATATAAGTATAGTGCAACAAGTCGAATGAACTAATGAAAACCTGGGAAGCTTCACGAACAAAACCCTGAAAAGCTAATGTCTAAGGCAATGAGAAGGAATGCACTGTGATGCGTGCATGCCAAAACCACAATTCTAAAGGATGGAGGAGCTCAGGACTGACCTTCTATGAGAGACAAGACTACTGAATTATTTACACTGCAGGAATGCACCAGGAAATGATTTCATCCATCAAGGAGTATGTTTCTGGTGATCACTTTATTGGTCCAGGTAGAAATAGTTGGATATTCACACCCACAGAATAGTGATCAACCAACCAGAAAACAGAAAGGGTGGATGAACCTCCCTAATTCATCACGAGGGCATGTTTCAGACTTTGGAGATGAAAAGTTGGAGCAAGGTAGAAAGTTGTGTTTATTAGAACACGAAGCTGCATCAGGCTTCCTACTGTCACTCAGACGCTAGATGGGGAGCTTCCTTACTCTTCACTGCTAAGACTGATTCAAACCCTTTATTTCAAAGCGTATGCTCAAGATTTCTCGAGGAGTTCACATGGTTTCCTCTGCTGCTTGGGTATCTGAGTGTAAAATGATGCACCTATGCACTTAGGTGATGCTGTACGTAGCACACCTACCCAGAAATGAAACAAATCCCCACCTGTTTTCAAAGGTAAACAGGAGATTCTCTCATTCTGTCTCTCTCTCTCATGCTTACCCTTGCTCTCACTCCCTGTCTCCTCTCTTTCTCTCTTACGCAAACATAAACACATACACACACACACACACAAACCTGTGTACACAAACCTGCTTTATTTTAATAATCATGATTGAAGAGCTGGGGAGCATTAGCAAATGATCACACCGCACAGAACTCTGCAGGAAGCAAGGTAAAAATGTCAGTGAGACATCCATGTTTTCTGAGCCATCCTCCTCCTGATTTTGAGGTTCCTAATTTAGCCTTTCTCCCAGTCAGCACCCAGGATCATCTTTACCCTTCATGTCCCTACAGCTCTGGATTGTCCTTGATGAACAATTAACCCTCTCTTGCTCTTAAAACTGAAACATATAAACTACCAGGTGCTTAGCAGACTACAGTTCTTTCCAATTAGAATTCACATTTTAGCCAGGCGTGGTGGCTCACGCCTGTCATCCCAGAATTTTGGGAGACTGAGGCAGGCGGATTACTTGAGGTCAGGAGGTCGAGACCAGCCTGGCCAACGTGGTGAAACCCCATCTCTGCTAAAAATACAAAAATTAGTCTGGTGTGGTGGTGCATGCCTGTAATCCCATCTACTCGTGAGGCTGAGGCAGGAGAATCCTTGAACCCAGGAGGCGGAGACTGCAGTGAGCTGAGATTGAGCCACTGCACTCCAGCCTGAGCAACACAGCAAGACTCCACCTCAATAATAATAAAAAAATTCACACTTTATTTTTTTCCGTAAATATCTATTAGGTGTCATTCTGTGCCAGTCACTATGATAAGTATAGGGGAAATAGAAAGATCAAGTTGCAATTTCCATTTGTAATGATCTTAGAATGTGTTGCAAAGAAATAGAAGAAACAATTAAAATACAATGGAAAATTTTCTAAGGTGTGGAGAGGTCTTGCGGGAAGAAAACCTGAGTTGACCCAGTGAATTGTAGATAATCTTGCACATGAAGAGCCATCTAAACTTTGGCTTTGGGTGAGTAGCAGTTTCCCTGGTGCTCAACGGGAGAAGAACTTTCCATATAGAGGGAAGACCAGAAAGCAATGGCAAAAAAAAAAAAAAAAAGAAAAAAGAAAGTACTAGAGAGAAAAATATGGCAAGAGGCAGAGTTTGATGTGAACTATGAGGCTATTAGAAGTCAGAAGAGAAGAAGTTTGAATTGCAACCTTTAAGGCCTTGCAGAATATTGAAAAATATCAAGCCTGAAAGTTGCATAATCAGATACACATCTAACAGACATCACTCTATGGTCATTGAAGGAAGTCTGTAGATAGGACTAGAAAGAAGGGGAATGAGTGTAGAGAGGCAGGAGCACAGTTAGGTATTTGTTCCAGTAATTCAAGCAAGAAATAGAAGAGACCAGGAATAAGGAAGAGTGAGTTGAGATGAGACTGGGTGGTATATGAAATATTTTAGGAGACCGATGTTTTGTGTTATTTTTTAATAAATGAAAAGACAAGAGGAAGAAGCTAGGAAAATTCTTAGATTTCTGACGTCAGTAACAGGATTGAGAGTGGTCCTGGCCACCAATCCGGGAAATTTAAGAGTGAAATTAGACTTAAAGTGCTGAGAAGGGAATGAGTGTGGTTTTGCAAATTTGAGTTTGAACTATCCGTGCAGATGACTAGAAACAAGGTGACATTTGTTACTTCCTAAGATTTAAAATCTAATTCATCCAAGGTTACATGTCATTTAATGGTGGGACTCAAAACCTGCTCTCCCTTACCCTAAATTTGTGATTGGTGCATTATTACTGAGTACGACTTCTAGCTTTGTGTATCTGTCTATAGGTGCAATAATGTGCATGGACAGTCACATTTGTTATATCAAGTTCACCTCTGATTTCTGTAAAAAGACTACCAAATGGTGGGTTCAGACATCAGTGATGAAGCAAGGATGAGCTAACTGGCTTCGGATAACAGTGAACCTGTGACCTTGACTTCATAAACTCCATTTCTAATAAGCCAAACTGAGACCACTGACAGGTGTCATGTAATATATGAGAAAGAGCAATTCATTCGAAGGAAGAAACTGAGACCTAGGTTCTGGATTTCAACATGTTTTTAAGAGATGAAGACAGAGAAGGCAGGAAACTCCCTAGAATTCCATTGCCTTGTAAAGCTGAATCGAACAGAATATTCCAAGTAAGACTAACACAATGTCTGTCCTCTCCAATAAGAAGAAAAGTTGTCAATGTAAAGTGTAGTATTCTCTGTTTACCTGTGTGTGTGATAACATTTTATTTAGAGATACACTTGATGCTAAAGAAAACTAACCATGGGTTCTGGTGAAAGACCAAGTATTTCTGAATGTTACCAGAGGTCTCTCAATTTGTTGCTGAAGCTGGATTTAGAATAGAAGGACTTGTTCTAGAATATTTACATCATGTATGTAAAAAAGACTCAGTTGAAGGAGCTAATGGCGAAAAGATTTAGAGCTTCACTCTGATACCTCCCAGCCCTCCACATGCCTGATTTGCTCCCTTAGCTGCTCCTTGGAGTACAAACCTGGAATTAGACTTTAGCATTTCAATGCAGTCGCTTCTTTGTCTCTGACGAGTAACTCACTGATGAACTCATCCACTTCCCTTATTCTCCTCATGAGACAAAATTTCATACTAGACAAAAGGGCATTATCCTTTGTATTTTTCTTTTTTTATTAAGGAAAACACTATGACCTATTTTTAAAGTCCCACTTCAAATATAATATATTTTTACAAATCTTTCAAACAGATGAGATTTTGCTCAGCTCCAAAACTCTGAGTTTGCTTTTTTTAAAAAACACAGTTGTCTGTCAATATATTTCATCATGCCTCTCCTTTTGGAGTGCAAGCTCCATGAAACCAGAAAATGGATTTCATTCATTTTCATATGCGCTGCGGTAGTCAGCTTATTGTTTTTATGGAATAAATAATGCTACTTGTTCATTTAAAGCACATTAAATTCTCCTTTAAAGTAGGGATAAGGAGCAGGGGGTAATTATTCATTTAACTTTAGTTACCTCATTTACAAAATAGAAACAATTCCCATTTAGGCAGGGCTGGACGAGAGACGGGCTGAAAATATGTGAAAGGGCTTTGTGTAATAAAGAGAACCACGCATATCTAATAAATTGTTATTTAATCATACAGCTTTTCTAGTTATGTCATCATATAGGAAATGAAGTACAAATGAATCTCCACGTCTTTAATTCTCAATGAACTTATTTTTATGAATCATAAAACCTGAAACAATTACCCAATATGGCTTTAAGAATCACAGAAATTTACTTGACAGAGTACTAAATTGAGTCAGAAGACTATGTGGCCAAATACGTAAGAAAAAAATGTTGCAGTGGCCTACAATTAGAACATGGATACAAATATGCTTTTATTATTATTTTTAAAAAATTTTCTTTTTTAGAGATGGTGTCTCATTCTGTTGCCCAAGCTGAAGTGCAGTGACTCGATCACAGCTCACTGCAGCCTTGAACTCCAGGGCTCAAGAAATCCTCCCATATTAGCCTCCCGAGCAGTTGGGAGTACAGGCAAGAAAGATGGGATCTTGCCGTCTTGCCAAGGCTGGTCTTGAACTCCTGAGCTTAAGTGATCCTCGCCTTGACCTCCCAAAGTGCTAGGTATTATTCCTTTAAAACCAACTTTGATAAATGACTTTTTGCTAAAAATTATATTTTCTTAAAAATATTAAATGCTAGGCTTCCCCACAGGGTTCTAAATGCTACCGTATATAATTTTATCTAGTAAATACAAGTAAGATGACTGTTTCAATGTATAATTTTTATTGGACTGAACACTCTGTCTAGTTCTTCCAATTCCTTCTCTAAGGTTTGTAGAATTATTTCAGCACAATATAGCAAAAGCCTATCCAAGAGTTTTAGAGTTCTCACTACCTCTGCCAATATTATGAAAAGAAAATGTTTCAAGAGATTATTTAACAGAACCTTTTTAAAATATTTTAAAATGTATCTTGCTATATTGCCTACATATAAGTACATAATCTTGGGCAAATATTTTATGTTATGCTCATCTTTCTTATTATATTACTATCATCTTTGAAAGGATATTATATGGTTATATTATATAAATAAATGGCCATTTTACATTAAATAAGTTAGGTAGAGAAACAAGAACTACAGCTGGATGTAAATACCTGTTGATTTTGTTAATCATATACTTTCAAGAAGTTTGGGTAGATTAATTTTTTCCAAGAGCTGGAATAAAAAGTGTTGTCATCCAGACACTCATGAACTATTTATACATCATCCCTAACTAATGAAATGAACTGCATAGTTAAAATGTTGTCTACCAGCCGGGCGTGGTGGCTCATGCCTGTAATCTCAGCACTTTAGGAGGCCAAGGGGGGCAGATCACGAGGTCAAGAGATCGAGACCATCCTGGCTAACACGGTGAAACCCTGTCTCTACTAAAAATACAAAAAATTAGCCGGGCATGGTGACGGGCACCTGTAGTCCCAGCTACTTGGGAGGTTGAGGCAGGAGAATGGCGTGAACCCAGGAGGCGGAGCTTGCAGTGAGCCGAGATCGCGCCACTGCACTCCAGCCTGGGCAACAGAGCGAGACTGCGTCTCAAAAAAAAAAGTGTTGTCTATCAAATATCAACATTTGACTTATGTTTAACTATCTATGATGATAATATTTCTAAAATAGAGTACATATACATTTAAATTCAACCATGAACAGTCCTTATGGGACGGACACTAGGCTGGGTTGTGTGATGCAATGGTAACTAAAATGGCAATTTGCCCTCTAGGAACACAGGCCTAATGTGTTTATATCTTCTTAGAAGGCTATGTTTTGTTGTTTTATTTTTTGAGACCCAGGTCCATCATTAAGAGCATGATTGAACCAAGCAGCAACATATGAATTATTGGCTCAATACCTGTGAGGCCTGGAGCAAGATCTTAAATATCTTAAAGATAGCTGCCTCCAGGGCCTTGAGCACAGACATTAAACCACTGTCTCCATTCTCTGGCTTTGCTTGGCTCCATTCCCCATGCAAGCTGTCTACGCCTGGCAGACAAAGCAACAACCACAGGCTCACATCCTCCTAGATTAGCCACTCCAGCAAGAATTGGAAGTCTTGCTCCTGACACTTATGGATCAATCCCAGAAATTTCCCTCTACATGAATTACTTGTCTTTGTATAAAGCAATTATTGCAGTTGGGGCCTACCCTTGTAGGGGAGTAGAAAATAGTCTGAGAAACTCAATCACAACCACATGGGGTTGGAGAATAATTTCTGAAAGGAGCAAGAAGAAAGAGGTTCTGAAAGCAAGCTGGGCAATAAAGCATCCCAAACTTGCCTGACCCTCTTTGGAAGCCAAGAGGTGAAACCCAGCAGACAGTGAGTTACTCTTTACTAAGTCAAGAGGTTTAATAGACTTGCATTTCTTTATATCTTACATTTTTACACCTTAAATTAAGAGCAGCAAAAGTCTTAACAAAATTCACAGCAGAACCCCCAAGCAGAGGCCCAGGTCATTTGGAGCCAGTTATTTCTTCTCTATTGCCCCCTCCCTTCTGTGTCTCTGGGAATGTCCAATCCCATACCTCAGAGCCTGGCGTGGACCTTCCCACATCCACTGTCTTTCCACCAACACTTCCCCATTGTGATTTTCATTGTCTGGCATTGCCCTGATGCTATGGGCCATCATCTTACTTGAGCTTGTCAACATTGAGAAAAAGGATTTTCTAAACTGAATGATTTCTTGGAATTAAACTTGAGTGTCTACATTTCCTTGAACTCAGCTAAAATGGATTGTAATCTCCATTTCACACGCCAGGGGACACGTTCAGCTTTAGCCCTGGTTTCCCAACCCTACTTTTTCATTGCTTTTTTCTTCAAATTTAGTTCCTCGTTTGTTCTTGGCATAATTTTCATGTGGCGTCATATGTTAGAAGAAGCATTAACGTCGGCTTCAACCCATCTAACTCTAGTGAAAGTCCAGTGTCTACTTTTTATTATTTCTGTTTCTTCCTTCAGCATTCATACCTGTCTCTTTTGCATCTCCTGTTATTAGCGTGTTTTTCTCTAGAATTTTCTGCTCTGCCTTTGCTACTTGTAGTATCTGGTAGACCTGAATACCAACAATCAAGAGTATTAATATAGTAACAAATTTCAGCTTTGTATACAAATACTTGTGAGTTAACACTGCAGTCAGGCAGGTAGGAATTTCTGGAGAATTATTCTCTCAAGGAGGAGGAGGAAAACCCTATAATTGGCTTTGTTTCAGACAGTCTCTGAGGACTCCATGATTTATAAAGTCATGCATATGCATTTTCTTTAAGCTCTGGTGACTGCTAAATTACTCTTGAATTTAATCTGTCTTCCAGCCTAGCTCTTATCTTCTAGGATTCTGAGGAACTAGCTGGTCATCAGTAAACTTGGTGAGTAGCTTGCTAATGTGTCCCATGGATTCTGGGTCACCAAATTTGTCTTGGGTTATGGTCTTGCTCTGCTTTTCTCAGTGTCCAGAGAACTGTTTGCTATGAAGATATTTCTCCTCAGACCATTGCGGGCCATACTGTTTTTTAGTGGGTCACAGCCAGAAACTTGACGTTAGGAAGGTACGACTACAGACTTTTCTTGATTCCCTATTGCCACAGACTGGTAGTAACAAAAGAAACTCAAATTACCCAAAGGATGATATAGCATATCCTTTTCCAGAAATAAAAAAGTAAAAATAATGGTTAAATATCACCTTCTACTAAAGAATTTGATTGCCAGAATTTTAGAACATTGTGCTATTGGTATACAGTATTTTCATTTCTCTTGAAGTAGTATTTGTGTATACAGAAATGTGGTACTTAAAAATAAAGTTTAATTTAATTATTAAATATTATTTAATTTATTAATTATCTTTTGTTTTTGAGACGAAGTCTTGTTCTGTCACCCAAGATGGAGTGCAGTCGCGTGATCTCAGCTCACTGCAACTTCTGCCTCCCGGGTTCAAACAATTCTCCTGTCTCAGCCTCCCCAGTAGCTGGGATTACCGGCATGCACCACCACACCTGGCTAATTTTTGTATTTTTAGTAGAGAGGGGGTTTTGCCATGTTGGCCAGGCTGGTCTCCAACTCCTGACCGCAGGTGATCCGCCCACCTTGGCCTCCCAAAGTGCTAGGATTACAGGCGTGAGCCACTGTGCCCAGCTGAAATATTGAGAGGTGACAGCGTGCTGGCAGTCCTCACAGCCCTAGCTCGCTCTCGGCGCCTCCTCTGCCTGGGCTCCCACTTTGGCGGCACTTGAGGAGCCCTTCAGCCCACCGCTGCGCTGTGGGAGCCCCTTTCTGGGCCGGCCAATACCGGAGCCGGCTCCCTCAGCTTGCAGGGAGGCGTGGAGGGAGAGGCGCGAGCGGGAACCGGGGCTGCGCGCGGCTCTTGCGGGCCAGCTGGAGTTCCGGGTGGGCGTGGGCTTGGCGGGCCCCGCACTCGGAGCAGCCGGGCCCTGGGCAGTGAGGGGATTAGCACCCGGGCCAGCGGCTGCGGAGGGTGTACTGGGCCCCCAGCAGTGCCAGCCCACCGGCGCTGCGCTCGATTTCTCGCCGGGGCCTTAGCCGCCTTCCCGTGGAGCAGGGCTCGGGACCTGCAGCCCGCCGTGCCTGAGCCTCCCACCCCCTCGGTGGGCTCCTGTGCGGCCCGAGCCTCCCCGATGAGCGCCGCCCCCTGCTCCATGGCGCTCAGTCCCATCGACCACCCAAGGGCTGAGGAGTGCCGGCGCACGGCGCGGGACTGGCAGGCAGCTCCACCTGCAGCCCCCGTGCGGGACCCACTGGGTGAAGCCAGCTGGGCTCCTGAGTCTGGTGGGGACGTGGAGAACCTTTATGTCTAGCTC
The DNA here is from genome assembly GCF_000001405.40 of Homo sapiens. NCBI lineage: Eukaryota > Metazoa > Chordata > Mammalia > Primates > Hominidae > Homo > Homo sapiens. The sequence goes on from NC_000006.12 coordinate 9,024,771, forward strand.
AGGGATTGTAAATACGCCAATCTGCACCCTGTGTCTAGCTCAGGGTTTGTGAATGCACCAGTGGACACTCTATATCTAGCTACTCTGGTGGGGCCTTGGCGAACTTTTATGTCTAGCTCAGGGATTGTAAATATACCAATCAGCACCCTGTATCTAGCTCAAGGTTTGTAAACACACCAATCAACACCCTGTGTCTAGCTCAGGGTTTGTGAATGCACCAGTCGACACTCTGTATCTAGCTACTCCAGTGGGGCCTTGGAGAACCTTTGTGTGGACACTCTATAGCTAATCTGGTGGGGATGTGGAGAACCTTTGTGTCTAGCTCAGGGATTGTAAACGCACCAATCAGCGCCCTGTCAAAACAGACCACTGGGCTCTACCAATCAGCAGGATGTGGGTGGGGCCAGATAAGAGAATAAAAGCAGGCTGCCGAGCCGGCAGAGGCAACCCAGTTGGATCTCCTTCCATACTGTGGAAGCCTGGAACTTTCACTTTGTAATAAATTTCGTTACTGTTGCTATTTGGGTCCACATCTGCCTTTATGAGCTGTAACACTCACTGAGGAGGTCTGCAGCTTCATTTCTGTAAGGCAGCCAGACCAGGAGCCCGCCGGGAAGAACGAACAACGCCAGTCGCGCCACCTTAAGAGCTGTAACACACGTGGAAGGTCTGTAGCTTCACTTCTGAGCCGGCGAAACCACAAACCCACCAGAAGGAAGAAACTCCGAACACATCTGAATATCAGAAGGCACAAACCCACCAGAAGGAAGAAACTCTGAACACATCTGAATATCAGAAGGCACAAACTCTGGACACCACCTTTAAAAACTGTTAATGCTCACTGCGAGGGTCCGTGGTGTCATTTCTTGACGTCAGTGAGACCAAGAACCCACCAATTCCGGACACATTTAATTTAAAAAGATTTTAATTCTAAGTTTATAACCCATTATCTTTACTCTCCAAAATAAATGCTCCAGTTTTTTATTGCTGTATAACATCTTCTGTGGCTTAAAACAGTAATAATTTTTATTTCTCATCTTTTCTCTAGGTGAGAAATTTTAGAAAGAACCAGCTAAGCAGTTGTGGCTTGGAATTTCTTAACACGTTAAGAGACAGAGCAACTGTAGCTGGAACAGAGGTGATTGGAGGAAGTATTGGGACAGTTGGAGACTGATCATCTTTTTCTTTCATGTAGTCTCAGAATCCAGCCATATGGACTCCACATGGTCTAGACTGAGCTTCCCAACAGCAAGGTAGCCTCAGGGCTGACAAACTGCTTACGTGGCCAATCAAGACTTTAAGAACAGGCACACCAGCTAGCAAGGTAGAGGCTGCAGCACCTTTGGTCAGCTAGCCTTGTGAGGCTCATACATCACTTCTGCTCTCCTCTATTGGTAGCAATAGTGATCAAACGATGCCCAGTTTCAAGAAGAGGCGGCATACACCACACCTCTCTGCAATGGATGTCAAAGAATTTGCAGATGTTTTGAAACTGACATAATTGAAACAATTATGGTTATCTCACACACTTGCCTAAATAATGAATACCATATTTCCCATAAATGCAAATATTTAACAAACATGTATTAAGCATTTCTTGAGTCACAGATGCTGTGGGTAAAAAAGATGAACACATAGTCAGCCCCCGAATGTTTTATTTCCTAATGAGAGAGAAAGACATAAATTGGTAGTACTACTGCATGAGAGACGCCTGCATTGTGATGGCACAGGGAGACGGGGAGCGGGGGTGCCGGAAAGAAAGTTCATGCATCCTGGAGGAATTAACCTTGAATTGAATCCCAAAAGATGGGTGGTGACTGGTTGTCTGTTCAGAGAGTGGGACCAGAAAAAAAGGCACGAAAAAGTGAAGTGTGTGTGTGTGTGTGTGTGTGTGTGTGTGTGTGTAGACCCAAGCGGGGTGTTTTTGTGGCATATGTTTGTGGCAAGGAATGTCAGAAAGTGAGGGTGGAGACAAGGCTAGATAATGAAGAGCTCATGGCTCAGGGAACCTAGCTAGAGCATCTCTTGAAACTCATGGGGAATTGTGGAAAGATTTAAAGCACAAGAGTGATATAATCCCATTTGTTCAGGCAGCTAGGGAGAAATGCAGAGTTAAGGACAGCAACAAAAAGATACTGTGTAGGGAACCAGCTGGAAAATTCTTGCAATAACTCTGGTGATAAATATTGGAGTAAATAAAAGTAGCAATAAGGAGGATGGTACAAATATCTTAAATACCAAGTCAAGTCTAGATAACTTAATGATTAATTGGCTGTGGGACCTGTACATACACAAAGGATTAAAACGGTGACTACTGTAAGATACTAGTAGGAGAAAGAGTATATGGTCACTAACTTTGAAGAAGCAGAAGGGGTTCTGGGAAAGATGAGTTAAGTTTTGCTCACATGGAGTTTGATGGTCCTTTGAGACTTCGGAGCCATATAGGATACCAAATATAAATAATAACAACTGGGGTTTGTACTTGGTGTAGACATCACTTTTCATAGCAGTGTGAAACTTTAGTGACATTTATCTAGTAATCCTGCAGGTCCTGGCCAGGCATCCACCTCCGAGATTCTTGCCAAGAATCCACCCACAGGTTCCCCACACAAGATTTCAATGCATGGCTTAATAAACTGCACGTCAGCAACACTAAAGAAAGACACAAACAAAAGGATAATATCAACAGATACAGATCAAGATAAGGCACTCTAGTGGGTGGTATTACTATTTTTCCTCACGTTAGGAAAATAGTAGTAGCTTCCATAGTACAAAAATATTTTGTACAGTCTATCAAGGGTGAAGTTTTTCCATTTTATATGCCAAAGTCTATGTGTGTGAACTAAACTCTGAATGGGTTCTCTTACTAAAACTTCAGTCGGGAGATAATTTTTCCATTGATGATATAAGCAAAGGTGTTTAACAAATAACATTTGATTTTGAAAACTATAACTTGATTATAATATTACATTTTTCCTCATTCATTTATTTAATGACTTCAAAAGCATCACAGATTGTTGCTGCTTATGTGTATATAATTAGAATAACAGAAGGTGATATAATGAACAAGGAATAAATGAATTTGAAGTAATAATGGCTGAAAAATATCCAAAATTAAGACTGACACCAATGCACAGATCCAGGAAGGTCAGACAATACTAAGGTATATCATACTCAACTTTCAGAAAACCTAGGAAAAAAGAAAATCATGAAGAAAGACATGGGGGGAAACCAACCATTACCTATAAAGAAACAAGGATAAGAATTACAGCTGATTTTTTTTAAATCAGAAGAAAAGGAAGGAGTGAAATCTTTAAATTGTTTCAAAATATATCTGCAAATTCTTTGACATCCCTTGCAGTGGTGTGGTGTATGCCTACTTCAGTGGACTTTCATTTTCAGTGGACTTTCAAATATTTAACCAACATTTATTAAGCATTTCTTCAGTGGACTTTCATTTTCCCCCAGTTGTCATGTTGCTATCATTATATGATTTACTTCTGCTTCTGCATATTTTAAACCTCATAACAAATTGCTAGCATTTTTCTTTGCTATAGACAATAATCTTAAGATGACTCAAAATTTTTAAAATGGCTTTTAGATTTACCCACAATTTTACGATTTCTGAAGATCTTCATTCCTTTGTGTAGATCTGCTTATTTGATATCATTTTCTTTCTACCTAAATAACTTCTTTTAACCTTTCTTGTAGTACAGGTCTGCTCACAATAAATTTTTTCAGCTTTTCTTTGTCAAAAAATCATTTATTTAGCCTTCATTTTTGCAAGATATTTTCAAGAGTTATCAAATTCTAGGTGACAATTTTCTTTGAGTATTTTAAAGATCTCTCCTTGGTCTTCTTGCTTGCACAATTTCTGACAAGCAGTCTCTTCTCATTTGGATCTTTCTTCCTCTGCATGTAGCGTGTCCTTATCTCTGGCTGACTTTGAGATTTTCTTTTTACCTGGGATTGTCAGCAGTTTGACTATGAGGTGTACCTACCTGAGTTTTTCGTATTCTCATTGCCTGTGTTTCCCTAAGCTTCTTGTTCTGTGATACATTCTCTTTCATTGCATTTGCTTAAATCTTTCTTTTTCTTTAATTTTTTTAGTTGTTCTCAAATTTACAGTATACATTTTAAATATTTAAATCCATCATCAAATAACATTATATTATTAAGGGTATAATACAGTTACCTTATAACAATATTACCAATTTCTCCCTCCCATCCCTTAAGGCATTGCTGTCATTAATACTATAATCACCTAATGCATTGTTACTTCTGTTCCTTTAAATAGTAATTTTTCTGATAAGAATAAGAAAAAATTGAAAATTAATTTTTATTTAGTCTTTCTCTGACATTTTTCTTTTCTTTATGTCAGTCTAAGTTTATGACCTATAGTATTTTTCTTCTACCTTAAGTACTTCTCATATTTCTTACAGTACAGGTCTCCTGGAAATTAATTTGTTCAGTTTTGGCTTGACTGAGAATATATTTATTCTTAATTTTTGAAGGTTAATTTCCCTGGGTGTAGAATTCTAGACTGACAATTACTTTCTTTAACAATGTAAGGATTGCACTCCTTCCTTTTCTTGCTTACATGGTTTCTGATTTAAAAAAAATATCAGCTGTAATTCTTATCCTTGTTTCTTTATAGGTAAAGGTGGGTTTTCCCCCTGTGTCTTTCTTCATGATTTTCTTTTTTCCTAGATTTTCTGCAAGTTGAGTATGAAACGCCTTAGTATTGTCTGACCTTCCTGGGTCTGTGGATTGGTGTCGGTGTTAATTTTGGATGGTTTTCAGCCATTATTACTTCAAATTTGTTTATTCTTTATTCATTATTTCTCCTTCTGTTATTCTATTTACATACACATAACGTTTTGACATTGTCCCACAGTTTTGAGGTGTTCTGGGTTTTTAAATTATTTTTTCTCTCTGTATTAATGTTTGGGCAGTTTTTGTAGTGCCTCCTTCAATTTCCCTAATTCTCTCCTCAGCTGCATCAAGTCTTCTGATAAGCTGCTGAAGGCATTCTTTATTTCTCTTACTGTGCCTTTTATTTCTAGGATTTCCTTTGGATTTTTTATATTGCCCATATTGCTGCTGACATCAACCATTTGGTCTTGCATAGGGTCTACTGTTTGCATTAGATACCGTAACATGTTGATCACAGTTATTTTAAATTCCTTGATAATTCCAATACCTGTGTCATATTTGAGTTTAGTTCTGTTGATTGCTTTGTTTCTTCAGACCACTTTTTATCTCACCTTTTGGTATGCCTTGTAATGTTTTGTTGAAAGCCAGATATGGTGCATCAGTGACAGGTTCTGAAGTAAACAGGCCTTCGGTGTGAGGATGTTAACCTAACTAGGAGCTGGGCTGGGTTTACGGTTTTTATTGTCAGGTACCTGAGGCTTCAAATTCCTTTAGTGTCCCTGTTTTTCTTTCCTCCCTTGTCTCTGGGGCTTTGTATTGCACTGTTCCTCAGAGAGCTTGTGTCTTGCCACTGGAGTCTTGGTATGGTAGAAGAATGTAAGAAAGGAGATGAGTCCAATCATATTTAGATTAAGTTTTGGTCTTTTTTCCATATAAAATAGTGTTTACTATAATGTACATTTTACCATTGAGAAAATGGAGTGGGTGAATCCAATCACTTTGATATGATTTGGCTGTGTCCCCATCCAAATCTCATTTTGAATTCCCACATGTTGTGGGAGGGACCTGGTGGGAGGTAACTGAATCATGGGGGAAGTCTTTCCCATGCTGTCCTTGCGATAGTGAATAAGTCTCACGAGATGTGAGGACTTTACAAAGAGGAGTTCCCCTGCACAAGCTCGCGCTGTTTGCTGCCATCCAGGTAAAGCATGACTTGCCCCTCCTTGCCTTCTGCCATGATTGTGAGGCCTCCCCAGCCATGTGGAACTGTAAGTCCATTAAACCTCTTTCTTTTATAAATTGCCCAGTCTCAGGTATGTCTTTATCAGCAGCATGAAAACAGACTAATACACACTTACATCAGGTCACATGAAATTAAGGTTGAAGCAGGTTTGGAATCCAAACATCAGACTCCAGGGTTTAAGCTCTTAGCATTGACAAGAGCTTGTCTCACAGTTTCTAAGGTAATTGCTGGTATTTAAGTAAATAAGTCTGGTTCTATATTATGCATCTGTCATTTTCAGGAATAAGAAGTTAGATAAAAATACTGTCCTAAAAGACATTGTCAACTCATTTATCTTTCTTCATGTTTAGGATTTAGGATCTCAATTTATACTTTTTAAACTCAGTTCCTTAGTCATTCATACTAACCTCTGGTGAAGTTAATATTCTGTATTTTAGTAGCAATTTTAGATCAAAATTATCAACTGCTTTTGAAATAACAGGACATTTTATGTTACATTAATTATTTAATTATTTCTACTTTTTGAGGTATAATTGACAAGAATTGTATAGATTCAAGGTCTACAATGTGATTTGATATACATGTACACGGTATAATAATTACCCAGATCAAATTGGTTGCTATAGTTAATAATACTGTATTGTTTACTTGAAATTTGGTAAGAGTAGATTGTAAGTGTCTTCACCACACGCATATACACACAAAGGGTAACTATGTGTGGTGATAGATGGCTTGATTACTTTGTGGTAATCGTAACACAAAATTTTCATCTTTTAGTGGATGTGTGTCTCTGGGATGAATGTCGCTTTCACATGTGTTTCTATCCTTCCTCCAGGGATGTAGCTTATTTTTTCCCCATTTGTGGCCTATTCCCTTATCTGGCTGCAACAGCCCCAATCCATTTCATTGAAGCCCTATTCCTTTTTTACTATATTTTTATTTCTTCCTGCGGGTGAGACAAGAAAGTTTGAGTGGGCTGGAGTGATGAGGAATTTTCTTCTCCCAGGTGGGATAAGGTTTCAGTATTGCCCTCTGGGGAACTCTTTTTTCTGGAGAGTAGGACTTTGTTGTGGAGTTAGCTCTGGGAGGGTTTCACAATGGCTATTTCTGTCAGAACCATGAGAAAGTCTTTCTTGAATCCTTGAAGTGAGAATTTAGTAGAGTTCCTGGAGTGAAAGACCAAGAAAATATAAAGACCTCCTGTGACTGCAGCTCCAGGAGTTTCTTGCTTTCATGCTAGTCTGTACTCATGCTTTATCTGCTCATCAAATCTACTAGTTATAATGGTTAATTTTATGCATCAACTTGGCTAGGTCATGGTACCCAGTTTATTTGGTCAAGTATCAGTCTAGATGTTACTGTAAAAGTATATTTCAGATGTGATTAACATTTAAATTGAAGACGTTGAGTAAAATGGATGATCCTTTATAACTTAGGTGGGCCTTATTCAATCAGTTGAAGGCCTTCGGAGTAAAGACTGAGATCCTCAGAAAGAAAAAATTCTGTTTCCAGACTGCCTTCCATTTCAAGACTCCAGCACACACACATACACACACACACACACACACAGCGATTTATCTGGAAAACCCTAATGCAATGTTGTCTACCTTTTCTGCAGGATGCATTGACATATTAATAGAGTTATTTTTACGTCCTTATCTGATCATTCTTATGTGTGTGATCTCTGAATCTGGCTTGGTTGACACTTACATCTCTTAGCAGTGGGTCATTCTTTTCTTATTTTTGGGGTACTTCATAATTTTTGATTGAATCTCAGACATTATGGCAGAACAGCAAGGACTGGGATAATGAGTATTTATGCCCAGAAGTAGGCATGCCTCTTCCTCTGCAAGAGAGTTGTTCAGGCTTGAGTCAACATGGCCAGCAGTTGGCTGAGTTTGAGTTTTGCTCTTGTTCTGGTTACTTTCACTGTACCTTGGTCTCAAATAGTTTCTATGGAGCATGGCCACTACCTATGCTACTTACAAGGGCTGGAACGCTGGAGAGTTTTTTCCAAAATTCCTCCCCGACGTTTAGCTTTCATTAGCCTCCGCACACCTGTGCCACAGAAGTGGTTCTCTTGTCCTGAAGCAAATGGTAGTCTGCTGTAAGTTGTTACTCAATGAAAACCCGGTGGTGTACCAAGGATGGTTCTCAGTTTTTCTATTTCAGCCTCAGTCCTGAGGCTCAAGGATGATGCGTTCCTGTCCATCTTTGTATCTCTGTTATCAATAGACTCCGACTTTCTACCCAGGGTTAATGGCTTTTGCCAATTGTCACTGTAGGATTCTTTTTTTTTTTTTTTTTTTGAGATGGAATCTCGCTCTGTCACCCAGGCTGGAGTGCAGTGGCGCATCTCGGCTCACTCAGTGCAAGCTCCGCCTCCCGGGTTCACGCCATTCTCCTGCCTCAACCTCCCGAGTAGCTGGGACTACAGGCTCCCACCACCACGCCCGGCTAATTTTTTGTGTTTTTTTTTGGTAGAGACGGGGTTTCATCGTGTTAACCAGGATGGTGTCCATCTCCTGACCTAGTGATCTGCCTGCCTCGGCCTCACAAAGTGCTGGGATTACAGGCGTGAGCCACTGCGCCCGGCCACTGTAGGATTCTTAGAGTGGAAATGACATTCTTCTCTGCTCTCTATATGTTAGGAAGGAGTGGAACTTCCATAAACAAAAACAAAACAAAGGACTTTCCTCTTTTTTCCAAAAGTGGAATTTTGAAACTTCTCTATTTTGAGAAAGAATGACATGGGATGTGAAGAAAACATAAATAGACAATTAAACCCCCCCTCAAAATTGCCAACCTATTAACTCAACTAATTAGCTAAATATAACAGCTGACTTTGATAACACAGTGGTGAGTCTGGACCTGTAAAACATCATGACATGACTTCACTCTTGCCATTGTGTTTTATAATCATGTCATAAACCTTGCTCAAAATTCCCTTATTCTTCAAAGTACTGAGTTTCTATAGGAACAGTAAATACATATACAGTGTTCTAATTCAACATATCTAGTGACACAAAAACTTGGCATGAGGCTAGACCCAACACAATGTTGTTTTATCAGGTGCGAGGTTCTGGGTTTTTGTTCTTGACAGCTTGTTTGTTTTACTTGGATTTCATAATTTTATAAAAGCCATCTTCCACACCAAGCTCTAATTATCCGTATCCTTTCTTCCTTCCATATACGTGGTTTTACAGTGCTACTAACAGTGTTGTAAAATAAAGAATTATTTAATAAAGGGACTAACTGAATGTCATCTTACAAGTTATAGACATTATTATGCATTTTCAGATCTGCATGAGTCAAGTTTGATTATTAAGTCCAGGTAGAATTCTGATCTTTTTCTCCTGTATTTCTGTCAGTTCTGTTGCTGTTGCTTCTCCCTTTTGGTCACTGAGTTATATTTGACTTTATCAGAGAATACTTTGAGGCAAAGAAAACCACTGCTGTTACTTTCCAAACAGTTCTTGGTACACTGCATTTGGAATACTTTTTGAATTAATATTTTATTTTGATGAAAAATATTGTAATGAATTTCAAACATTAGTATTTTTATACTTATCTATGGATTCTTTTCAATGACTATATTCTCTCATGTTGTCTTATTAGACAATTGAGACCATTGATAGCTGATAGCAACCTTACAGTATAAGAAAGAATAGTTTTATTTAGGATACTCCAAAGCAATAGCATATCTTAATAGTTCTGCAGCATAATTTAATGAAAAAGACATTGAACTTAAAGTCAGGACACGTTGGTTCCTTCCTAGTTCTGCCATTTTCTATGTGCTTCACTTCAAAAGGAGATTCCTTTTTTTCTGGTTCTAGGTTTTCTTTCTCCTAAAATTTTATTAATACTCAGGACACCTACAATAAGTAAATGGATTAATGTGTTTGGACCTAAGGAAATTAAAAATTAATGTCCTGACTGGGCACGGTGGCTCACGCCTGTAATCCCAGCACTGTGGGAGGCTGAGGTGGGTGGATCACAAGGTCAGGAGTTCGAGACCAGCCTGGCCAACATGGTGAAACCCCGGTTCTGCTAAAAATACAAAAATTAGCCGGGCGTGGTGGTGCATGCCTGAAATCCCAGCATCTTGGGAGGCTGAGGCAGGAGAATCGCTTGAACCCAGGAGCCGGAGGTTACAGTGAGCTGAGATCATGCCACTGCACTCCAGCCTGGGCAACAGAGTGAGACTCTGTCTCAAAGAAAAAAAAAAGGAATTAATGTCCTTATTGTGGCTAGAATAGTTAATGTTACGCATTTGAAGACACTGATATGCAAGAGGTAAAAAGATTTAAAGAAGAGCACATGATGGATTCAATGCAACTTCATGAAGAATTCAGAAACCCAGAACTTCAACCTATCTCACTTTAGTGATTAGCTCTTACTCATTTCTAACACATGTTTTCTGTATTTAAAAGTTTCTTTTCAATATTTCGGTAAATAATATCAATTGTTTTTCCACTTGGAATTGGAAAAAGGAGGTCATTGTTATTTTGATTGTGCCATCCGAGCAATAAATAGCTTCATTCTACCGTGTTGACTTATGGATTTAGAAATAAAGGCACTTTTCTAAGAAACTGAGACAAAAAAATTTTGATTTGCCAATCTTCTGGCTTAAAACGTTTTTAATCCAGGCAATAATTTCCATGTGAATAGACACTCTTCCGCTTACAACATTGTCTCATAAAAGCTTTTTATGTATGAACACATTACTCTGATGGGCCACAAAACAATTCCATTCTTTAAAAAAATATGCACAGAAAATCGTATCATTAGGAGAAATAGGAAAACTAATTTTGGCAAAAATAATTTTTTTTATGAGAGTCTGCTCATAAGTCAAAATAGCTTTGAAGACATTTGAGGACCCCCCCACACACATACACATACACCAATGTTTGTACTTATTCTGAACAAGAATACAGTGAAAAGAAATGTAGTAGTAACCATGTATATAAATCCAGAGTCAGACAACTCATGGTCTGTTAAAATATTCTTTCCAAAATTTGAGGGGAAATGTTTCTTTGGGGCCTTGGTGAATTTATGTTCACTTGGGATTAGCACATATGCCTAATTTAAAGTCATTTTCTTTAAAAATTTACTGATATTCACAAGAAACAAAAAGAGCCACTAATTCTGGTCTTCAAGATTCTCTTTCTTCATCTAGAGGTCACTTAAAATTTGATAGATACAAAAGCTCTTTCAGGGAGGTATAGCCTGGCATGAATAAAGACCAATATGAATGTGATTAAAAGAGTATGAGGATTTTTGTGTTTGCATGCATCCTGTAATTCCCTGCAGACATGATATATAGGGTGATATAAGGAATATGTAGTCTAGTGTGAGCAACCATCACTACACTCTGCAAATTCACTCACTGCAGGGAACCAATTGAGACTTCTGTGAGAGCAGGGCTTTCTAACCCAGGTATTTCTCCTTAAGGATTGCTTCCAAACAAAATGCATTCTGTTCAAGAATGTCTTTTAAAACGTGGTTTCAGAGGCAGAGAGGAGGAGATTATCTATGATGCTTCAACTTTATCATGTAATTAAGGAGAATGACCAATTCTTCCTATTCTACTATTGTCTGTTTATGTAAATATAACCTGCCTTGTGTGTTTTCATTATGTTTTTGTTTTGTTTTTGAGATGGAGTCTCTCTCTGTCACCCAGGCTGGAGTGCAGTGGCATGATCTTGGCTCACTGCAACTTCTGCCTCCCAGATTCAAGCTATTCTCGTGCCTCAGCCTCCCGAGTAGTTGGAATTGCAGATGGCCGCCACCATGTCCGGCTAATTTTTGTATATTTAGTAGAGATGGAATTTCATCATGTTGGCCAGGCTGGTCTCAAACTCCTGGAGGCCTCAAGTGATCCACCCTCTTCAGCCTCCCAAAGTGCTGGGATTACAGGAGTGAGCCACTGTGCCTGGCTTCTTCATTATGTTTAGTATTTTATAGACAGGAGGAAATACTCTGCATAAAAAACTGTCTTTTCAAAATAATTCCTTTACCGTGCCACATAGAAGCTCCCAAATAGCCTTTAAGCTCTAAATATTTAGAACCAGGATGAAAAGAAAATTTAGAACCATTATGGATAATTTCTACCTAGCCTTAATTTTTATCATTAAAGCTTCAGAATGCTTAGTTTTATCATGTGCTTCTGGGGTATGTGGTGTCATAAGTTTACAATAGAGGTAAAATTGTGAAACCGACCAATCCTGTTCTCCTGTTAAATGTTGTAAAAGTTCTAAATAATATTACTAAAGATCACTGAAGTGTAGCTTCTGCCCTCTCATCCCTCTACAAATATGAAAATTGTTTTTTGTCAGTGAATATTCCATTTATCTGAATATTTATTCAGCATATTGTTCATAATCAACTAGTATTTAGTATATCATAATTATTAAAAATATAGTCTAGAAATAATCTAAGTTCAAATTTCAACATTTGCTAGCTAGTTACTTAGCTATAGAGCTACAATTTTCTATATTGTGCAATGATTAAAGAAGATTACATATAGGACAAAGCTTCTATATGTTATAGGAAAAGTGATTACACATGTGATTTATACACATACAATGCATGCACAAGTGTGTAACCTAACAACAATGTTAAGTAGGTGATTAGGATTGGGGAAATGCTACTTGTGTGCACTCCAAGGAATCAGCATTTGGGTAATGGTGAATAGACTGAACAATTGATGAAGAAGTGAAGTAAATCATTTTGTTGCACCTTTGAATATTTTTTCCAGTTTTGGATCTTTGAAGATAGATTATCAAAATATTACCATAATTCTTTTTTTTGTTGTTTTTTTTTTTTGTTTTTTTTGCTCAGCTATACTCTAGTTTGAATGTGCCTTCCAAAAGTTAGGTTGAAATTTAATTGCCATTGTAACAGTTGTTAGAGAGGACTTTAAGAGATTAGGCCATGAGGGCTCATGCCTTAATAAAAGGGCTCATGTTCTTAGCCCTTCTGCCTTTCTGCTATGTGTGGATCCAGCATTTCCCTTCCATCTGGAGGATGCATATACAAGGCAGAATCTTAAAAGCAGAGAAAATGGGTCCTAACATGGTCTGAGAGTTCCCAGCCTCCAGAACCATGACTCAATACATTTCGTTCCTTATAAATTACCTGGTCTGAGGTATTCTGTTATAGCAGCACATAATAGACCAAGACTAGCTGATTATTTCTTTGCAAAACATTAATTTAATGAATAAGTGGTTGTTGATAAAAAATTTCATTTGAACTATGTTGGCTAAATACTTTTTAAACTATTGTAAAAACGATAATGGAAAGAAATGAACTATAGATGAATGGGTTCATTTGTCTGTGCAGAGTTGAAAAAAATTAAATGACATGAGAATGCATTTTCTTTTCAGAAACTATGATTTATTCTCACTCTTAGTATGATGTAAATAAAACCAGACTGTTTAATGAGCCGACCGTACACTTCTTTTTAAAGTTGTCATGATCATGGGTAGAGAAAATTTGGTTGAAAATATAATACTAAACAATATTGCAGTGATAGATATGGTAAATATAATAAATATATTACATTTTATTGTCGCATATTAGTTTCTAAAGATATTACTAGTTTTCTGTTTACTAATTAAAGATTCATTCTAATATAAATTTTTATTGCTGCAAAAGTTTTAAGGGACAGGCTGGGTGTAGTGCCTCACACCTGTAATCCCAGTACGAGGTGGGAGGATCACTTGACCTCAGGAGTTTGAGATCAGGTTGGGCAATATATTAAGGCCCCGTCTCTTAAAAAAAATTAAAAATTAGCCAGGCATGACGGTGAATGCCTGTAGTCCTATTTATTTAGGAGGCTGAATCCGGAGGATCACTTGAGGCCAGGAGGTCAAGGCTGCAGTGAGATATTGTTGCTCCACTGCTCTACAACCCAGGTGACATAGTGAGACCCTGTCTCAAAAAAAATAATAATAAAATAAAAAAAATAAGAAACAGGACATTTGAAAAGCTCCCACAGCTCTCTCAAGCTTATTCTGGAGTTTATTCATTCACTCGACAAACACAGTGGAATGGCTATTATATGAAAGGCGCTGGGCAAGCCCTGAGACAAGGAACTAGAAATGAACCCAGCTTTTATGGATCTTAAGAAGATTGCTGTAAAACGGAATCATGAAGCAAGCAAAGCAACATCTAAAATATGATTTAACTGCTAATTGATTCTGAAGAATGACACCATGAAGTTAAATTTTAAATCACTGTTTTATTAGCAATTTTACACGTTAATAGAAGCAACAATTAGTTATAAAACTAGTAAGTCTTTTGGGCCCATCCCTCCCCTCCACCCTGAGAGCAGCTTTATTAGTCCACAGCATTATTTCAGCCTGGTCATTTATATACAAGCAACAAGGCAAATGCCCATCACTCAGGTAAGACTTCTCTATCTAAAGTCTAGAATAGTCTTCATTTCCAATGAATTTAGATGTCTTTTCAGAAATGATAGCATCTAACAGATCATAAGTGGTTCTGAGCTGTGTCGACTCCTTCCTGGTTTGCATTCTCTCCAGGGATCTAGAGCCAGTGTCTGCCTGTTCCAAGCCCCAAATCATTAGCAGTGAATCTCCTTCTCCCAGAAGGAACATTTCCCAGTCACCAGACATGCAGTTGGCCATCTTTCCTAAAACAAGTCAGAATTAACATGCAAAGAGCTATTACCTCCAACATCTTCACCAAATGCTTCCTCCAGCTCCTTGTGTGAACCCACAGGTCTCCCCGTCAAGGCTGGAGAAAATGGTTCCCATGAGTGCTAGGTGCAGATCCACTCATCCCCCTGGGTGGCAGTGTGGGAATGTTCTAGCTGCTAGAAACCTCCATTTAGGCCAGTGAGCTAGATACACATCGAAGGCGGGATGCGGTGGCTCACACCTGTAATCCCAGAACTCTGGGAGGCCGACGTGGGCAGCTTACCTGAGGTCAGGAGTTGGAGACCAGCCTGATCAACATGGAGAAACCCTGTCTCTACTAAAAATACAAAATTAGCGATGCATGGTGGCGCATACCTGTAATCCCAGCTACTCGGGAGGTTGAGGCAGGAGAATTGCTTGAACCCGGGAGGCAGAGGTTGCGGAGAGCCAAGATAGGGCCATTGCACTTCAGCCTGGGCAACAAGAGCGAAACTCCGTCTCAAAACAACAACAACAACAAAAAATAGCAAAAAAAAAAAAAAAAAAAGAACTTCCTGAGTCAGAGAAACAGCCTTTCCCATCATGATTCCACTTCCCCTGAAGCCCTCCCTGGAGAATGCTCCCATTCTTCCCTAACCGCCCTGCTTTAGTGCAAGCTGCCTGAGGGGTGCTTTCTTCAATTCCCAATGCCACGGCCTACCTTCTGCATCTGATTATTCAAACTGCCACTCATTCCTGTCATCTGAACGTGCTACGCCACTCCTTCCCATTGTGCTCCCAACAAGGATATCCCTGGCTATTGCCCTGCCTAAAGTCTTAATTGTCTTCCCATGTCAATTCTGTGTCCACATAGATGACCCACTGACAGCCTAACTCCTTGGTTTCTAGTGGTCTCATGACCAATTTTAGGAGCCACACACTGCCACAGTGTCCTTACACTTGTTAACCACAGTGGTTCCACTGCTAAACTCACATCTCAGACATTCCACTCTCTAGCTACACCTGCCTATACTTCAAGCTCTTTTTTTTTTTTTTTTTTTTTACTAATTTCTTGACTTAATCTCTTAATCCTCCTAATCCTAATTCTCTCCCAATCCAGGCTCCTTGGTTTTTTTTTTTTTTTTTTTTTTTTTTTTTTGGAGACAGAGTCTCACTCTGTTGGCTAGGCTGGAGTGCAGTGATGCAATTTCCTTTTACTGCACCCTCTGCCTCCCAGGTTCAAGCGATTCTCCTGCTTTAGCCTCCTGAGAAGCTGGTGAAAGGTGACAACCTGCTGGCAGCCCTCGCTCGCTCTTGGCGCCTCCTCGGCCTCGGTGCCCACTCTGGCCGCGCTTGAGGAGCCCTTCAGCCCGCCGCTGCACTGTGGGAGCCCTTTCCTGGGATGGCCGAGGCAGGAGCCGGCTCCCTCAGACTGCGGGGAGGTGTGGAGAGGCACGGGCGGGAACCAGGGTTGTGCGGCGCTTGGAGGCCAGTTAAGAGTTCCGGGTGGGCGTGGGCTTGGCGGGCCCCGCACTCGGAGCGGCAGGCCGGCCTCGACGGCCCCGGGCAGTGAGGGGCTTAGCACCCAAGCCAGCAGCTGCGGAGGGTGCGCCAGGTCCCCCAGCAGTGCCGGCCGACGGTGAGTCTCCCCACCACCCCCCACCGCCGTGGGCTCCTGCGCGACGCGAGTTTCCCCGACGAGCGCAGCCCCCTGATTCAGGGCAGCCAATTCCATCGATCTCCCAAGGACTGAAAAGTGCCGGCGCATGGCGCGGGAAGGGCAAGCAGCTCCACCTGCAGCACCAGTGCGAAATCCACTGGGTGAAGCCAGCTGGGCTCGAGAGTCTGGTGGGGACTTGGGGAATGTTTATGTCTAGCTAAGGGATTGTGAATGCACCAATCGGCACTCTATCTAGCTCAAGGTTTGTAAATGCACCAATCACCGCTCTGTGTCTAGCTAATCTGGTGGGGACTTGGAGAATCTTTAAGTCTAGCTAAGGGATTGTGAATGCACCAATCGGCACTCTGTATCTAGCTCAAGGTTTGTAAACACACCAATCAGCACCCTGTGTCTGGCTCAGAGTTTGTGAATGCACCAATCGACACTCTGTATCTAGCTAATGTAGTGGGGATGTGGAGAACTTTTGTGTCTAGCTCAGGGATTGTAAACGCACCAATCAGCACCCTGTCAAAACGGACCAATGAGCTCTCTGTAAAACAGACCAATCAGCTCTCTGTAAAATGGACCAATCAGCAGGATGTGGGTGGGGCCAGATAAAGGAATAAAAGCAGGCTGCCCAGGCCCGCAGTGGTAATCAGCTGGGGTTTCCTTAGGGAGGTTGGAAGGTTTGTTCTTTCTCTCTTTGCAGTAAATCTTGCAGGTGTGTGTTTTTTGGGTTCATGCTGCTTGTATGAGCTGTGATGATTACCATGAAAATTTGCAGCTTCACTTTTAAAACCAGTGAGAGCACAAACCCACCGGGAGGAACAAGCAATTCCAGACGTACTGCTTTAGGAGGTGTAACACTCACCGGCGAGGTTTGTAGCTTCACTCCTGAGCCAGTGAGACCACGAATCCACCAGCAGGAAAAAAAGATTCCAAACATGTCTGAATGTCAGAAGAAACAATTTCCAAACACACTGCCTTTAAGAACTGTAACACTCCCTGTGAGGGTCTATGGCTTCATTCTTTAAGTCAGTGAGACTAAGACGCCACCAATTCGGGGCACATTGGGACTATAGTTACTGCCACCATGCACATCTAAACAACGTTCTGGAATATCTTCTTGCTTTGGTCAACCACCAGGCATGGGAAAATGGCTTCATCGGTTGTCTTTCCACAAACAAGGTAAGACACTGAAGAATACCTCACGCCAAAAGTCAAACTAGAAAGTATGTGCGTTATAAAGTTAATGAGACTCACCTATCTACTTAAATCCATACAAAAGGGTATTTTCTTACCTCTTCTTACGGGAGTGAATGACACTGCCTCCTGTCTCAAGCTAATATGTTTCTCTGAGACCTGAATCCCTTTTCCTTTGGCTTTTGTTTCTCATTGTGTTATCTATTGTTACAAATCACCACAAAATTTAGCAGGTTAAAACACTGAGTGCATATTACCTCAGTTTTTGAGGGGGGGGAATCCAGAAGTGGCTTGGCTGGGTTGTTCTGCCTAAGCCTCTCATGAGGTTGAACTAAAGTAATGGTCAGGGCTGTGGTCAAGCAAGGTTCAGTGGTGGAGGATCTACTTCCAAGTTCGTTCACGTGGTTTTTGGTTGACTTTAGCTCCTTTCTGGCTGTTGGACAGAGACCTCAGTTCCATGTGGACCTCTGAGCAGGCTGCTTTGAGCTTCCTCAGGCATGACCACTGGCATCCCCCAGGGAGAGTTCAAGAAGAACAGCGAAGGCAGAAGCACGGTGGTTTTTAAAATCTAGGAAATGACTTTGGTCACATTCTATTTGTTACAAATATCAATCCCAGCAAAATGGAGGCAGCTACATAGCTGTGTGTCTACCAGGAGGTGGAAGTCATCTTAGAGACTTGCTACTAAGACTTGGTGCTAAGTGGAGGGTCTTCGAATTTTGACGACCTTCTCCCTCCTGTTTATTAACCTCTTTCCTCTGTTGACTCCTAGTATTTAAGCATGTTCAACTTTTTCCGCTGGACAAACCCTGCGTGTCTTTTCATTGTAATTTGTCTTTGGTCCACACTGCTCTGAGGAGATTGTGATGGCCAGGGTTGCTGGGGCTTCCTTGTGGTTGGGTCTCATGGACAATTCTCATTCTCTGGGTCTTACTTGATGATTGAGAAGTAGTTCCTACAGCAAACCACTTTCTCCTTTTAGAAAACCTTTTTCTTTGTATTTTTTTTTCTTTCAATATTTTTCTTTCAATACCTTTTGGGGTACAAGTGGTTTTTGGTTACATGGATTAATTATATAGTGGTGAAGTCTTGAGATTTTAGGACACCTGTCACCCAAGTAGTGTACGTTTTACCCAATATGTAGTTTAATTCCTCATTCTCCTTCCACTCTCCCCTTTCTGAGTCTCCAAAGTTCATTACACCACTCTGTATGCTTTTGTGTACCCATAACTTTTTTTTTTTAAGATGGAGTTTCACTTTTGTTGCCCAGACCGGAGTGTAACGGTGCGATCTTGGCTCACTGCAACCTCTGCCTCCTGGGTTCAAGTGATTCTCCTGACTCAGCCTCGCAAGCAGCTGGGATTAGGCATGCACCACCATGCCCAGCTAATTTTGTATTTTTAGTAGATATGGGGTTTCTCCATGTTGGTCGGGCTGGGTCTCAAACTCTCAACCTCGGGTGATCCGCCTGCCTTGGCCTCCCAGAGTTCTGGGATTACAGGCGTGAGCCACGCGCCCTGCCCCCATAGCTTTGAAAGCCTTCTTTTCTTATCTTCCATCCCTCTGCATCATCCAGGTTTTCTACTACCCCTTATACACTCTCTTGTTAGTGTTCCTTAAAGTCACATTTTCGCCCTCTCCTCCCTTGGGAGACCCCATTTACTTTCATGGCTTTCTTTCATGACCTCTACATACTGAGAATGGTACAGGAACATCAAATCCATGATTATAAATAATTATAAACCCTAGGCCAGGTTTTCTGCGGGCAAAACTGTTGAAACCAGTCAAGTTTTGAACTCTAACTACAAAAACATTATTTGATAGCTACTCCAGCTCACTGAAAGGCAATTTTATGTCTTCAAATGAAATAAGGATACAATTTGATCTAGATAAGATAATAGTGACTTCTATTTCTAAGTTTCTACTTTCATGGCTTGTTTGGCTGAAGCAGGCATTGAAATGCCTACGTTTTTTTTTGAGACAGGATCCTGCTCTGCCACCCAGGCTGGAATGCAGTGATGTGATCTTGGCTCACAGCAACCTCTGCTCATGGCTTATTTGAACTTTACATTTATTATTTATAGATTTGGCTACTGCTGTTTGAGGACAGAGACAACCAAGAGGAACATAGACACATCTGGAGTACAAAACACAAAACAAAACATCAGCATCTTCTGTAGGTTCATGGGAGATGAATATATTCCACCAGGATTGTGTAAGCATAACATGGCAGAAATCTGTGTTGGCCATCGAGTTAGATGAGAGCTCACCGGATGGGTGTAGAATTCTAGAGCTACTGTAGGCAATTAAATTATCTGATAATCAGTGGACCCAACATTGGCACAATAAGCCATAATAGGAAGGATTTCTACCCAGGCATAGGAAATGGCAGCACTTAACAGCTGTTGTGAATTCATAGATAATGCTATTACTCTGCAGCTGTGAGGCAGCAGCCCTGTAAGAAATCACCAAAACTCAGCTGTTAAGGACCTCTATGATTAGGCAGTGGGATTTTTTTTTTTGTTTTCTGGCAATTTGCCATTTTGTTTTCCTGTAGAAAGTATATATTAAATAAGAAAACTGGTGTATGCCAGTTTGGCGTTCTAGCAGCTAGTTTACTGTCTCATGACTTTAGGGTGTCATTTGTTGCAAGGGAACAACTTAGTGCTGTATGACCGTATAAATTATTTCTTTAGATATGAAATGATTCCTTTTTGACCTAGAAGAATTTATGCATTTCCTAGTGTGCCTTGCTTGTATGCAGAGGACATCTTACATAATGACAGAATATAGGCCAATGTAATTTAATGTGTACAGAAAATTCAGTTCATGATTGATGCCTGCTTTAGTATGTATCAATGTTACTAATATTTAAACATTTAGACAATGTTTGGACAAAGTGTTGGCCAGAGATTGAACAATGGAAATGAAACCAAAAACCTCATATGATACTTAAATCATATTTTGTGCCCATATCAGCTAGTATATTGAACCAGAGCATCTGATTCGATTAATCATTGGGTCAAAATTTGCAGTTTTGAAACTGATTTAAAATCATAGTATAACATGTTGATTAAAGTAACGATATAGCAGAAACTCCATCAGTATTTCACTCCATCAGATGGACCAGAATTTGGTTAATTACAAAAGTCACTTAAGGTAGTAAACCTTGAAAAATAAGTAAATACACGCAATCTTTTTGGTTTGAGCTAAAGCATATACATGCACCTTTTTGGGTAATTTTTGATAAGATCTTTCTCTGAGTATCAATTGGCTAATTGGAGTTTCTTATATTTTCCTGTGGCCCTTTGAACAAAAACTACACTGATGTTACCTCGTTTGTAATGTCTAGTTTTTGTTTTAATTGGAGCAAGAAAGAGCATGAAGACATATGCAGGAATTTGAGTGCAAAATGTTTCTTGGGTTGTATGAGTTTCTCCTAGATTATTAACATAAAGAATGCTTTGCCTAAACCCACTGGGACATAGTTTAGCAGTTTTCAGTTGCTCCAGACTTATTTTGACACTCATGTTTCATTGTTTTAGGTAACATGTAATTAAATTACATAATTATAATACCAAGTAAAACTGACAAGAGGTTTAGCAGGAAACATGACTGACACTTGATGAGTGAAAACCACACTGGGGATGGGGAGGAGAAGAGTACAGTTACAAGAGAGAGTGGTCAGACTGAAAATACCCATCAGTATGAGTGACAGAGAGCCTGGATGGCTACACCACTGGATGGCTGTTAAGAGCCTCTGTAGATTTGACCTGTTATTAATAGTTGGAAACAAAACTTCAATTTCTAATTCCATCTGGTCTTGTTGCTCAGAAAAATTGTTAAATTCCTATCAGTAGAAGATAAGTCAAGAAATGCTTTGATCCTGATCTGCCACAATGTCACTTGGCTTTGTTCTTCACAGCCACAAGATAGCTGTTGTACCTCCAAATATTGCATTTCTATTCCAGGCAGGAAGGAAAAATGACAAAGAGAAAGGTGCAGCATTTATATTAGGAAAATAACCTTTTCTGAGAAATCACTTGCAGTGTTCTGATTACTGCTCCTGTACAAAAATCGTGTCATATAGATCTTTCTAGTTGCAACAAAGGCTATAAGTTAGTTATCTAACTTTGAGCACATTGATACTGAGAAAAAAAAAAAGCAGGATTCTATTGGTAAGAATGAACTGGAGCTTAGGTCTGGTACAGGACACTAATGGGGTCTTTGTGCTTCTTACAGATTCTAACTCAAATAGCTCAAAGGACACCTTCTCCGGGAAACCTTCCCTGACTTCCGACGCTGTTTCCTGTTGTAAGTTCTCATAGCCCCATATACATTTTCTTCAAGTTATTTTGCTACTATATTTGTGTTAATTTGATTACTATTTTCTACATAAGTATGATGGCAGGGGCCTTTTTGTATTTTTGCTCACAAATCTATACCTAGCACCCAACATATTGCCTAATACATAATAAATACTTAGTGTGTTTATCAAGCAACCCACCAAGTGGTTAACCATTACTTTAAAAAAGTCTCTCAGGAAGAAAATCATTTAGTGCTGCCTTGTAACCTATTCCAGTAGACACCCTCAAAAACTAGGTCTGTTTTTTCTCTACAAATGCTTTGTTTTTCTTGCTCATTGAAATCCACTTTTACTCTTTATTATTATTAAATGAAAGAATAATTAGTCAATGTCCTCATCAGAGCAATTTTCTTTTCCTGGTCTTTAGAATAAGTTTCTGCATTCATTATTTATATTTTATTTTCCAGGCAAAATGTCCATAGGTTCTGTCTTTTAAAATCCTATTTTCACTGTTTCTGCTTCATTCAGGCACAGATATGAAACACTGATACATGAAAGAATGCCAGGGGTCATCTAGTTCAACCTTCTTTCTTTGGAGGTGGGGAAACTGAGGCCTAGAGAGTTTAATTGAATTTCTCAAATGACCTTTAAGGAGATACTGGCTGGGTGTGGTGGCTCACACCCGAAATCCCAGCTCTTTGGGAGGCTGAGGCAGTCAGATTCCTAGAGCTCAAAAGTTTGAGACCAGTCTGGGCAACAGGGCAAAACCACATCTCTACTAAAAACACAAAAATTAGCCAGATGTGGTGGCATGTGCCTGTAGTCCCAGCTACTTGGGAGGCTGAGGTGGGAGGATCACTTGAGCCCAGGAGGCAGAGGCTGCAGTGAGCTGAGATCACACCACTGCATTCCAGTCTGGGCGACAGAGCCAGATCCTGTCAAAAATAAAAAAATAAAAAAATAAAATACTGACAG
This sequence comes from Homo sapiens, assembly GCF_000001405.40. Classification (NCBI taxonomy): domain Eukaryota; kingdom Metazoa; phylum Chordata; class Mammalia; order Primates; family Hominidae; genus Homo; species Homo sapiens. Next base: position 9,047,459 of record NC_000006.12, read on the forward strand.
AAGCAAAATACAGCCATAGTTTTCCAATTAATTCCCTGACTTGCGCTCCATTCTTTTAGATTACATGTTTTAGAGACCCAGGCAAGATACAATAATGAAAAGAGGCCTAATCACCATATATATTCCAAATAGTGGTCCATTGCCATGGATGGTTTCATCTGTATTGGAACTGGCAAAAGCTGAATTGGTTCTCATGTTTGTAAGTGGGACATAAGTATCTGTAGTTTATTAATTAGGGTCATTTTTACATTTAAGTTTTTTTAAAAGCAAGCTTTCTGTTTCATTTATTATCTCTAAATTTTACTATATCCTTGCCTGCTTGTCAGTCAGAGTTTGTTTTTGAATTTCATAAATATGGGCGTAAAATATTGCAGTAGTTTGTTAGGACTGCCATAACAAGACACCATTCACTGATTGGCTTAAACAACTGAAAAGTATTTTCTCACACCTCTGGAAGCTGGAAGTCCCAGGAGAAGGTGTCCACAGGGTTGGTTCCTTCTCAGGCCTCTCTCCTGGGCTTGCAGATGGTTGCCTTCTCCCAGTGTCCTCACATGGTTTTACCTCAGTGGATGTGTGTTCTGGTGTCTTTCCATGTATTCTAATGTCTCTCCTCTTATAAGCACATCAGTTACATTGAAATAGTACCCACTAGCTGGGCACGGTGGCTCACGCCTGTAATCCCAGCACTTTGGGAGGCTGAGGCGAGTGGATCATGAGGTCAGGAGATCAAGACCATCCTGGCCAACATGGTGAAACCCCGTCTCTACTAAAAACACAAAAAATTAGCCGGGTGTGGCAGTGCACACCTATAGTCCCAGCTACTCCGGAGGCTGAGCCAGGAGAATTGCTTAAACCCGGGAGGCCAAGGGTGCAGTGAGCCAAGATCATGCCACTGCACTCCAGCTTGGGCGACAGAGTGAGACTCCGTCTCAAAAAATAAATAAATAAAAAATAAATAAATAGCACCCACTCTAATGGGCTCATTTTAACTTGAACATCTCTTTAAAGGTCCTAATGCCAAATTAAGTCATATTCTGAGGTCCTGGGTGTGCGAGGGGATTGGTTAGGGCTTCAGCATATGCATTGTGGGCAGGAGGGTGACATGGGACGATTGAACCCATAACAAATAGCCATCATGCAATTCCTACAATTGCAGGTCTGCAAGAAGGCCCAAGTTCTGAAGATAACATGTTTTTATTCTTGAATAAAGAATGTTATTATGACCTTGATCTTCAATATTCTTATAGCAACCTCAGTTTATAAATCCAATTTCAGGCTAATATTAATGAAAAACTGAAAAATCCATCGTAAATTGAGATTCAACTATTGATTCACTATGGCTTCCCAGCTGTTACAAAAGATACACACTACCCAATTGATGTGCAATTTAGCGATCCGTAAACATCAAGATATGCATTGAAGGATACTTAAACCCAAATACCATTACTTCTAGCTTTGGAGCCTTAAGAAAGTTGCCTAATCTCTCTACACTTCCTCCTCTGTAAAATAGAGATAATCCCTACCTCAAGAATTGCTAGGTACTTAAGCTAAATGATGGTTGCATGAGGCCAAACAATAAATGGGCATTATTATTATTATTTTTTGAGATGGAGTCTCGCTCTGTCACCAGGCTGGAGTGCAGTGGCACAATGTCGACTCACTGGAACCTCAGCCTCCCAGGTTCAAGCCATTCTCCTGCCTCAGCCTCCCGAGTAGCTGGGTCTACAGATGTGTGCCACCATGCCCAGCTGATTTTTGTATTTTTAGTAGAGATGGGATTTCGCCATGTAGGCCAGGCTGGTCTCAATCTCTTGACTTCGTGATCCGCCTGCCTCGACCCTCCAAAGTGCTGGGATTACAGGTGTGAGCCACCATGCCCGACCTCATTATTTTTAATATTTCTCACATCCAATTTTGTCAATGTATTAGTGGATTATACTTATTTAACAAAGTTCATGTTCCAAGAAGTTTTGAAATTTGAAGACTTTGGTTGTATCACCCTAATGTTAATTTCATATACAATGTGTTATAGCCAATGATGTTCCAGAAGGTAATTAGCCAGACAGGTACAAGAGATAAATTTTACACTCAATTAAAGGAACAAAGTTAAATTTTAATTGTTTCGTATGAGACTGGACAGTGGTGTAGAAGTTCTTTGTCATTCCTGATCCCATCTAGAAAGGTTTGTCTGTTGAGCATGGCATTATCCCAGCTCCCTTGGAAATGGCTAAGGGACTGAAAAATTGTCAATGTGTTGCTTAATTACCTGCACCTGTCTACATAAGAACATGTTCTGTGGTAATTATGGATCTGGTGCAAACCATCATGCATGGGGTTTTATTGTGCTTCAATTTCCCTTCATATCTCAATTCAGTCCCAGGGCTACCTTTTGGCATATGAGCACCCTCATTCAACACAAAATAAATTGGTTCTACTCAAGAAGATTAGAAATGGTGGGAAATATAATTCCCTTTTATTCTTGGCAACAGTGTGCATTATTTTTAACCAGCAGAAAATACACAAGAGAAAGAGGAAATGGATTTTTCCTTCAATGAAGTTGAAGCTTCATCAACTAACTGACCTGACACTGACCTTGAAAACCTCATTGACACTACCCTCTGATTCTGCCCCTCTGGGACTTGAGAGAAAAGGTTGGAGGGGCATCCAGAGGAAGGCTTGCAGTGCCTGTCTTGACGATAAACTCTATGCTTCCAGTTGCAGGAAAGAATACACAAGCTCAGAATCTCTTGGGCTGAGTGACAAAGGAGGAAAAGGGATGGTTCCAAGTAGGATTGGAGCTTCTGCTTCCTCACTTCCTCACGTAGCTCCATCTGCCTCTTCAGAGAGCTCCCATCTCCCACTGTGTGCAGCTGAGTTCCAAGCACTCCTGGCGGCATAATGACTGGGACAAAGATATTTCCTGCAGTTGTCAATGGTGCTCCTATACTGAAACTCTCCTAGGAACTTGGCCAAATCTTCCTGCTCCCCATCCCTGATTTCTGTGAACAAGAGGGAAGACTTTGTCACACTTCTCATTGGTGATCATATTAATTTCTAGGCCATGTGTATCTAGATATGAAATAATATTTCTGTTATTTTAAAATATAAGATCCTTGGAAGATGTCATCTATTGGAACATGTAACTATATAGCCAGAAGAGGAGATCACTAGAGCCAGACTGCTCTGTCTACATACTTAAAAAGACATTTGGAGGAAGAGAGCATCTGCAAATGTTGATGAAAATGGGTTTGGAACTTCTCTTTTGATCAGGAAATAGGTAGACCATAAAATGTCTGATGCATGTTGCTGCCTGAAGCAAACCCACAATCTGGAACCCAGTCATCTTGTTGCTCTAGAAAGCATCAAGAGAAAATGGAAGAAGGCTTAAAAGGCCCATCACATTTTAATCTCTATGGTTGGATTAATCAAAAGTTTTCATAGTTTTACTAAAGAAAAATGAGTGGTCATTTATACTTCATCTCTAACAAGAAACTTTTTTGTCCAGTGCTCAAAAATACATATGCTATTATGCTATAGTTTCCTTATGACTTGTTTTGTTTTCTATAGTTGATTGTGAGCCTCCAAAGGGCATGGAGCTATATGGTATGATTCTTTGCTCCTCAGGCATTTTCTTGCTCAGGAGACATACCTAACATGTTTTTACTTAATGATAAAGGTGGTATGAATGCATCATCAATAACAGAAGCTTAGAGCTAGAAGTAAATGTTTAATCATTTACTTTTGCTTGTTTTTCTTTTCCTTTTTTTTTTGCATTGTCTACTTTAAGACCCACATATTACAAATAAGAAGCATTAAAAGTCGTTAGTGTCAAGATCGGGGACATGAATTAGGTCTCTTGATTCTAAAGATGATTACAGTAATAACAGAAAAGGCTTTCTCATCAAGCAGTGTAACTCAGTGGAACAAGCTTCAGATTGAGCAGTGGCAATGTGGTTTCGTGGACAGGCACTGGCTGGGAGCTTGGATCTCATTATTGTGGGTTCATCTCAGTCATGTGTTGACCTGAGGTGCAGGTGGCTCTATTGGGAGTCAGCCAGCTGTGGATGGTAACCACACATGACCAAAATGAGTCTTCAGAAGCTATCACTTGAACACAGCAACGACACTGGGCACTACTAAGAAGGAGGGAGGAAGTGGACCAAGGGCTGAAAAACTAACTATTGGGTCCTATGCTTAGTTCCTGGGTGACAGAATCAATTGTACCCTAAACCTCAGCATCACACAATATACCCAGGTAACAACCTGCACATGTACCCACTAAATCTAAAATAGGAGTTAAAATTGTATTTTAAAAAAGAAGTTACCACTATCATTGAGCTCTTTTCCTGAGGAAATCTAGGGCTTCTGTCAAAACTTCGCTAATTTAAATGAGTATTTCCTTCTTTTGTATTTATAGGGAAGTCAACAAAAGTACAGCTGCCCCTGTCTTATTATATATTGCATATATACTAATTCTGAGCTCTCAGGGTTGGGAAAGAGAGTATAGGAAGACTCCTTCTGAGGGCTTGTCTTGACGCAGAATGGCCTAAAATTCGCACTAGAGACAGACTGATTTATAGGGATTTTTTTTTTATCTCTTGGACCTTGTTCTAAAAAAAAGTAATGGAAAATTCAGAATATTTGACTCAACTAAATCTAATCTCTATGATCACATCCAGAGCCCTTCCCTTGTTGGTGCCTCTGCCCTCCTCCCTTTATTTGTTAATAAGATCTGACCTACATCAGGAACTTTTTGGGCTAGATCCAGGAATTTTTCACCTTAAATTTCTTTCTAAAGAAATTGAGGTTTCAGAAACAGAAGAAGCCTAACCTGTTAAAAAAGAATCCACAGCATTACATGAGGGTAGCCTCATTATTATCCTGTATGAGCTGGGAACTAAAACAACAGAAAGAGATTTTTGGTTAATCACTAAGGCCTCCATTCTATGGTTGCCTTCTGTGTGAGCAGGGCTAAAAGGGACATTGTAACTGGCAGAGACGAAAAGCTTTCAATATCCCTTGCAAAATAAATGAATAATATTTATAGCTGTGACTTCCTTGTGATTTTCCTTTCCACCTTTGAAAGTTAGATTTTAAAAGGTAATTATTTAAAATCTATGTATGCACAATTATTTAGTAGGCCTTACTAAAAAAGGTTAAGGACATTTGTTAAAATCAAATGGAATAAAAGGGTACAACTGAAGAAGACAAATTAATCAAAATTAAATAGAAATGATTCAAAAGTCCATTCAGTGGAGACAACTACAAATCACAAGCAGGTGTCTTGACTGTCTCTTTAGGGGCTAAAGACCATTTCATGAGATGCCTCACGGGAAATGGGTATGTTATCTGAAGGGAAGCCCTGTGCATCCTGCCATACGACCATCTATATCTTTAAGAAAACAGAATCTATCCGATTCTGCTAAATCCAACTGAGCTCTCATTAGCCCTAGAATTTTCACAATATCTTTCAACAGTCAGGCCCACCACTTTCTTTAAAAGCACTCTATTTTCGAATGTACCTAGCTGTGTAACATTATCTAACCACTTTGTCTCAGTGTTTCCTCATATGTAAATTCAGAACATTTATATTTAATGACTCTTAGGCCTCATTCAGATGTAAATGTCAATCATAATGACAGAAGTGGAGCTAATGGACTCTAATTCTCTTTTTGCTATATGCAGACTAGACATATATGGCTTCATCTTATTTCTGTTAATTATTCTTTTTTGGTTTTTAATTTGTAGAAAACGGTTGCCTTAAAATGTTTATAATTGGTGGACAGGTGATATTTTTCAAATATTAATTTTTATTTAATTTCTATTAGTCATGGAGATGTAATAATGCAGAAGCTAGTTTATTTCATGCCACAGTCTCTTAAAGAGGTAGTAGAGGAGACAAATACATTACTGAGCTCAGGAATGTTAGCAGAGACCCATCCAACATTTCATTATCTTTAAGAAATAGAGCCACACATCACTGCATGGTGATACAGATAAGTCTGACTGTTTAAAATAATAATTCTGAAGAAATATTACATTACAAATGCAAACAGATCAAGAAAGCTGAGGTTGCTCAGTATGTATTGATAATATTAGATTATGTCTCTGCATTCAAAGTAATCAGATTCAAGTTTCTAGGAAGAGAATGAAAAATTATATACCATTTTATTTGTTTATTATTCAAATAAGTTAGTGATTTATATCACTTTCAGAGAAGTAGGAGTAAGAAAAAACTTTCTAAGGGTAAGAAACATAGGATATAGGACTTTGAACATGTAAACATCTGGGAAGATATGCTTGCACAAAAGTCAGAAATCAGCAAGAGTTGTTCTCACCTATGGGAAAAAGGTAAGATATTACTGTGTCTCAAATGTACGTGATCAGTTTGTTGCAACAGAGTTTTAACTCAATATTGTTTATTGACCAACCTGATCAACAGAATTTTTTTAAATTTAACTTTTAATTTAAGTTCAGGGATACATGTGCAGGTTTGTTACATAGGTAAACTTGTTTCATGGGGGTTTGTTGTACAGATTATTTCATTACCCGGGTATTAAGCCGAGTGCTGATTAGTTATTTTTCTGGGTCATTTCCCTCCTCTCCTCATCCACCCTCCAATAGGCCCCAGTGTGTGTTGTTCCCCTCTATGTGTCCATGTTTTCTCGTCATTTAGCTCCTGCTTATAAGTGAGAACATGCGTTATTTGGTTTTCTGTTCCTGCATTGGTTTGCTACAGATAATGGCCTCCAGCTCCATCTATGTCCCTGCAAAGAACATGATCTCATTCTTTTTATGGCTGCATGGTGTTCCATGGTGTATATGTACCACATTTTCTTTATCTAGTCTCTCAATGGTGGGCATTTAGGTTGTTTCCATGTCGTTGCTATCGTGAATAGTGCTGCAGTGAACATATGTATGCATGTGTCTTTACAATAGAACTATCTATATTTCTTTGGTTATGTACCCAGTAATGGGATTGCTGGGTCAAATGGTATTTCTGTCTTTAGATCTTTGAGGAATCACTGCACTGTCTTCCACAATGGTAGAACTAATTTATACTCCCACCAATAATGTATAAGCATTCCTTTTTCTCCACAACCATGCCAACATCTGTTATATTTTGACTTTTTAATAATAGTTATCTCACTGGTGGAAGATGGTATTTCATTGTGGTTGTGATTTGCATTTCTCTAATGATCAGTGATGTTGAGGTGTTTTTTTAATATGGTTATTGGGATGGCCAGAAATTGCTAAGTACAATAACTTACAACATCCATAGGTGTATCTTGTGTAGATTTACTTGGGAGAAAAATCTACTTAGTTTGACCTCCATAGAAGTGTGTATTAATCCTCTTTACTTACAATAAATTTACATTTTTGTCTGAAACATTTATACCTGCAAGCAGTTGGGAAGCCAATCATCATTGCCCTTCTCTTATTCCACCTCAGAATGCCCTGGTTATAAGTTGCCCTGAAAAAAAAAAGTCTTAGGAATAGAGATAGCTTTCTGGAAAGAACAGAAAGGCAGGGCAAGGAAAGAGAAGAGAAGAGAAGAGAAATCTTGGGTTTTTGAGAGGACAGTAGGAAAACTGCTGGAAAGAGATACAAAAGTAGAGTGGTTGACCACATTTTTGAGCATTACATCCTGGTAGGTATGCAGAGGAACACTCCAAACGTGAAATAAATTAAGAAAAAGATAGTGGTATAGTCAATAACATAAAATAGTGTCTCACTTCACAAAATGGTTGTATTTAATAAAAATAGCATACAATATAATCAAATACTTTTTTCTAATGGGAGATCTAAGAAGAAAAACAAATGGAGACTATCTTCTGGCTACAATGAAACCGCTTGTATTAGACCGAATATCTCACTGAGAACAACTTTTAAGCTTTATAGCTCTCAATTTGAAGGCAACAGAAAGCAAAGAAGGCAGGTGGGACTTTAAAAGTCAAGACTCCTAGGGAAGGAAAATGTAACTAGGTGAGCACGAAAGTCTCTGCCCACTTTCCTCCTCAAGGCGTTTAGTGATTCCCAGTTTTGAGAATTTCAAAATCTATGCATAAGCAATGACTTAGAAGCTAAGAATTTACATTCAGGGATTTACTGAGGAGAGCCTTATTAAACAGTCCACACTTTTAGCTGAGACTCCTGAAGAGGCTTCACCTTAAAGATAAAGGCACACCAGAAAGAGATCAACCCTTGAAAAGAACTAAAGCCAGGCCCAGTTTATCCCAATCCCTTATTAGATCAAGGTGACATGCTCCAACATTCACTGCTTGCTACAAGAGAAATTAATCCCATCTGGAGAAGGGAAGCATCATTCATAGCCTATAAAATTTTTCCTACAAAAGTTCTGCTAGGAAATTTTTTTAAATTACCTAACGATTTCAAAGGAGCAAAAATAAAAAGCGAGGGCTAACTTTTCAACCCACAAAATGGAAACCACAAGACAATAAAGTAATATCTTTGAGATCGTAGAAAAACATGTCTACCAACAAAGAGTTCTAAACACATTGAAAATATATTTTAAAAATGGAGGTGAAATATAAATACTAAAGAAGCATAAACGATTAGTCACCAGTAAAGACACACTGAAAGCAATAAGAAAAGGAGTTTTTCAGGTGAAAGGAGAATGATCTCAGATGGACACATACAAATGGCAGAAGAAGCAAAAAGTACCAGAAAGTAAATAGGTAATACATTTAAAGGATTGTTGATGGTACAAAATAATGTTTGTGAGTAAAATTGGCTTATGATTTTCCTTTCTTGTAATATTCATGTCAGGATTTGGTATCAAGATACTGCCAGTCTCACTAGCTTAAAATGTTTATAATATGAAATTTAATGGAGATAATGTATTTGAAGGAACTTAGCCATTTTGCAAAGAGTAGGTGCTCAAAAAGAGTGATGCAGTGGATGGGGTTTGAAACCCCTTGGATTCAGATCTAAGATGTTCAATTTCCTAGCTATCTAACTTCAGAACAGTTGCTAAAGCTCTTTGAGTCTCAGTTTCTATATGTACAAAATAAGAATAATTATTATGTTCTCATTACGTTTTTCCATAAAGATTAAATTTTTAAATTAAATATTTCTGTAAAATGCTTAACTCAATGACTGCCATATAGTTTACTGTTCAACAAATGTGAGGGTTTATTCCCCGTTTCTCTTTCTTTCATTCCTTTGTTTTCTCTTTTTCTCTCCCTGAATGCCTCAGACTGGGTTCTGGATGCAGGTCCTGAGCTGGTGTTTGGAATGCCATGTCTTTGTTAGGAATTCTTAACCTGTAGGAGGCAGTGGTGGGGGAGACAGGACTAGGCAAAGGGAGAAACTGAACAGTATCCAGCTCCAAAGAAGCCTTTATCAATTCCCTAGAGAGCTCTGGAAAACATAAATATATGGCCCGTTGGATTTGACCTACACTGCACTAGCTGGGCCTCTACACCTCTGCCTGGATTAATGGTTGGATATGGACTGGCCTGGAAAATGCAGGCCCTTAGACCAATCTGCTGTGTGTAGTGAAGACAAACCTGGAAGACTCCACAGCTGGGGAAGCAAGTTCTCCCTTGAAGGAGACTCAGGCCGCACAGCTCCATGACCACCATACTATTCGCTCATCTCGTCTTCTCCCCTCCCTCTTCCCCCACTTCCCTTCCTTCTTCTGTCCTCCTCAGAACACCAAAAGAAGTCATTATTTAAATATTCTCCATACCCTCCAATATAAGGTCTGTGTGGAGAATATTATTATAGACATATCAGAATCAGAACTGGACTCAAGGTGTGCTCATCCATAAATGGAATGAGTGGGAAAGAGAACAAAGGGATTATTCTTTCTGAACAGTGAAATTTTCTTGATCCTAGAATATATCTTATCACTTTTCCTAGGATATGTGGCCATACTCATTAGCATTCACTGTTGATCTGAAAAGGAGAAACCAAAATACAGCCATTTTTGTATCTTAATTCAATTAAATAATAATATTTTTATTAATATAAATACATTCGATTGTGCATTAATTAGTGCTAGGCTAAAATCTTTAATATGTATTTAGCGTTTATAACAAACATTGGTAAAAATTTAAATTATTCAGAATATGTATAGTTATGTTGTCTTACATAGCTATTAATCAAAATTTGAAAAATCATTTAGTCTTAGGAAGCTTGAACATATGAAAGTGCAATAAATTTTAGAAATATAGAAAATTAAAACTTCTGCTAGTCCCTTGTAGTTTTTTGTATTACAACTTTTCTTATGTGTTATACTTTTTATGGAGAAAATTCTATGTGCATCTAGAGTGTTTTCTGGCAGAAAATCACTAAAAATCACTGAGTTTCTCTTCTTACATCCCCTTTCATATGATTCAGCCTTGTCATGAACTTCTCTAAACTGATCCTTTATAAGAATTGCAAGAGAAGAGGAGAGCAGAAACTGGAAAAAAAGAGAGTGAAATGAAAGCAGTACAGTATTTTTGCATCCACTCAAACCAAGGCCCCTGAATTAGTGCTCTGCAGAAATGAACAAGGAATCAACTTCCCTTGCGTTTTTGTCCTCAAAATGGTAAATCCTTGTTAGTGCCTTTATGTGAAATCTTAGAGAAAGCTCTTGAGTGGAAACATTTGTTTAGCTTAGTTAGGAAACCAATTATGTCATAGCTATAACAGCCAATTGGCAAATTAGATTTTTGCACTCTAACGCTATTTGCATCTGTACAAACAAGCTTATGCTGAAGAAGTGTGCATGCACTGTTTCTTGGCTGCTTAACATGACACTCTTCAGAGAGCTAGGATTAAGAATGTGTACTTTATTATGCCTAATGACATTATACATACCTTGGTCACAATGTCATACTTTAAGGTAACATAGGAATTACATTTTTGTTCATTTCTGCAACTTATTGAGAATGATCTGTTTTGGTGTTTCCACATAAGAAAATGAGGAAAAAAATGTATCATTTTCTTTGACATGGAGTAACATTTTATTAAGCAATGTTTGGACTACAGATTAGCATAAACATGAAAAAGGTAATTTTTTGCATTTCAATTTATTGCCATAGTAATAAGATGAGGTCTTTTTATAACATATATAATGAAATAAATTTGTAAAAATGTTTGTGCAAAGCATTCAGCAATGTAGATTTCTTTATGAGTATAAACTTTCAAGGATTTCATACTAGCTGCCTGGATTAGCCAAAAATATACATTTTATTGACATATTTATTTATTTTCATCATAAAAGGGGAATGAGTATATCAGTTGCTTCTCTTGAATTTGAAAATCTTCATTCATCCATTCATTTGATGGATATTTATGGAGACTTACTACAACCCAGGCACTATTCTCAGGGCTGCTGATACACTGATGAATGAACATATAAGTCCTCTTGCCACCTGGAGCTTATACCCTAGTGTGGAAGACAAACAGAGAAGCAAACAAACAAAAAAGCGCAAATGAACAGATGAGTATAAAATATAATTTAGGTAATGATAAATGCTGTATCAATTTGATTTTAGCCAATGTGTTACCAAAAGAACATCATCTAAGACAAACACATAGTAACCATGTATTTGATGAATGTAACTAATATAATACATTTAAAATGAAGAAGTTTTGAAATATACAAGAAACTCTATGTACACAAGCACTGAAAATATAACAGGGCAGATACTAATGGAGAAGAAATTATAATAGCGAGAATAATTATTTTCTTTATATCTATATACCATGACTTCTGAAACAAATTTCACCCCTTTCAAATTATTAAAGATAATCAGAAGCATTCTCCCCAGAAACATAGATGAGTATGACAGTCACCAAAAAAGACCATATAAGTCATTGTATCTCACAGTTAAATTGCTATATTGAGGAATGGCCAGACTGCAGAAGTGAATTTAATTTAACTGGAGTCTTGCTGGCTCATTTGCCCAGATACAGCCATGGTATGCAATGGCATGCCAAGGGAATTAATAACTGATGGATGATCAGACCTGCTCAAAGCGGTGGTAATCATTTGCTGCTTAAACCACCACATTTTGGCAAATAAAAAGGCTTCGCTGGTGCCAAATCTGTAATTACTTTACTTAACAGTGATGACATGTGTGCCTGTTTTGCGAGGTCCCATACTGATGCTTCTGTTGTTGGCTAAAAACCACCCGGTACTTGAGATAATAACCTCATTTCTGCATCTGTCTCTCTGTAAGATGGATCTTTTAATTTCTTTTTCTTTTCACTTTTGTTTTGTTGTTGCTGTTCTTTGAAAGTTAAAAAAGACTGAATTTTACCCTTTTTTTGTGGGAGGGTGAGATGAGGCAGGAGGGTTTTGTTTGAAAAGCCTCACAATCTCTTAAACATAACTTAAAAACTGTTTATACCTCCACATAATGATCTCAAGATAATGACCTTGAAGTGACAGTCTATTGTTACATGGATAGTAATGTATATATATGTATATTCATGTGACTAAGTGTTATGATGATAGAAACTAGGGCTAGATTTCCCTCAATAACTTCATCACTTCCTAGTAGCAAGTTCCAATTTCAGACCAGTGGTATAGAGCAATCAATAGTGGTGCTCTAAATTTGCTGAGTGAAAATTACCCCAATTAGGGTTGAATACCTAAATTATAGCTAGGGAGTGATGTAGGCTGTTGAGACAATAAATCCAAATGTGTGGAATCGCAAATGGAAGGTTTCTCCTGAGAGGAGAAAGTTCAGGCAAATTTACCTAAAAAGGATGAAAAAATATTTTCCAACCAGTGAAAGAATTTGATTCTAAAAGCTTTTTCTAAGTCTTCTTATTGGAATGAAGTAAAAATATTTTGTTGACTGTTAATATAGCTACTTCCATTTCTATTGGCTAGTGTTTGTATGATATATATATTTTTTCCATACTCTCATTTTAAATCAGTCTGTGTTTTTATATGTGAAGTGAGTTGCTTTTAATTGTTTAAGTAGCTTTCATAAAGTTGAGATGTACATTTTTATCCACTCCAAAAATCTCTGCCTTTTAAAAGAAATGTTTAGACCACGTATATTTAATAATCAATGCAGTTGGGTTTTAGTGTAACATTTGACATTTTAAAAATTTGTTCTATCTGTTCTTTGTTTCTTGCTTCATTTTTCACTGCCTTGTTTTCAAATAATGGAATATTTTGTTTCTATTATTGGGTAAATAACAATATATCTTACATATGTATTCTTGCTCTAGGGTTTCAACGTGCATCTTAAATGTATCACAATCTACCTTCAAATGTTATTATACCACTTCACATAGTGTGCAAGAATGTTAAACAATACACTTCTTTTTCTATTCTTGTCCTTTGTGCTATTATCTTGCAACTTAAATCTACACATATTATATATCTTAATACATTCTTTGTTTTTGCTTTAAGTACTCACTTTTAAACACAGTAAACATTGAGAAATATATATTTATCCAAACAGTTACCGGTTTCTGCATTCTTTACTCATTTTTATAGATACAAATTTCCATCTCAATCATTTTATTTCTCTTGTTAGAACTTTATTTAACATTTATTTTAGTATAGGGCTGATACTGATAAATTTTCTTAGCTGCTGTGTGTGTCAGTAACTCTTTATTTCACCTCTATTTTTGAAGGATATTTTCTCTGGGTATAGACTTCTGGGTAAATAATTGTTTTGTTTTTATTGTTTTTCCACTACGAGTACAATAAAGATATCATTCCATTTTTTAATTGTTTTATTACTCACATGCTATCTGATAAGAAGTGTGTTATTCTAATCTTTGTTTCTCTATGTAACAGGTCTTTTTCTCTTTTTCAATGGCTTTCAGAAGTTGATTGTGATGTCTTATGGTGTGGTTTTCTTTATGTTCTTTTTTGGAGCTCTTTCAGCTTCTTTAATATATTGGCTTACCATTTTTATAAATTTGGATAATTTAATTTTTAAATTTTTTTTTGCTCCCTTCCTACCCCATTCCTTCCTCCTGGGACATCGATGATGTGAACCATTATTTTAGACCATTATTTTACAAGTCACTTTCTGTGTTTTTTCAATACTTTTTTCTGTCCTTTATTTTTTATAGTTTTTTGTGGTGTTTTCAAGTTCATTGATCTTTTTTCCCTGCAATTTTTTCCTGCAATGTAGGCACATATGGTGTATTTTTCATTTCAGAAACTGTATTTTTAATGTTTCATGTGAGATTTTAAAAAATCGTCTATCTACTTATGATGATCATGTCTTTCTGTAACTTTTTGAATCCATAATGCATTTATAATTGCTATATTATTGTCCTTGTCTTATTTCAGCAGCTGTCATTTCCAGTTCTGTTTCTATTTATTGATTGTTCTCCTGTTTATGGAATCATAAGTTTCTGTGTTTTTGAATGTCAGTTAACTTTTGATTGGATGCCAGATATTATGAATTTTACATTTTTTAATGCTTGATTCTGTTGTGTTTCTTTATATAGTGTTGAAGTTTGTTCTTGCATAAAGTTAAATTACTTGGAATAAGTTGAATTTTCCAAGATTTTTCTAAGATTGTTAACATGCTCCAGTGCAGCTTTTAGTCTGGGTCTCATTTAGTTTTAATACCAAGCTAAAATCCTATGGGGAACACTGCCTGATGTCCCTTGTATTTAGTTGTCTCTTCATTCTGGGTGGTGGAAACACTAAATATTCCCAGTCCCTCTATGTGTTCCAGAAATTTTTCAGCCTACTGATTTCTGGTACTTCTTTGTTCATCTTTGGGTAGTCTCTTCTTATTCATGTTCTGTTCAGTACTCAGCAAATGCTTCAGAGAACCCCTAAGAGGAATCTTCAGAACTCTCTGTGTGCAGCATCCAACTCTCCAGTATTTTATCACATGAATTCTGGTCACCTTGGCCTCCCCAGATTTTCCTCTCTTTCTCTTCAACTCAACAAAATTATTTACCTATGTTTTTCTCTTCCCTCCTTGCACTGCAGTCTGTAACCTGTGCCAAGAAAGTACCCAGGAAAGCACAGGTCTCACTTGTTGTTGTTTTTGTTGTTGTTTCTTTTTCTCAAGGATAACCTACTGCTTAATATTTGAAAAATTTTTTCATTTATGTATTCATTGAGCTTGTATTTATTTAAGGCAAGAAGATAAAACTCATCTTGTTTCTTTATCGTGGTAGAAAGTATAAATCTCAAAAAAACATTTTAACATTCTGCTTCCAAATGCTTCAATTCAGAGCAACTTTTAAAGAAATATAAAAGCTCATTACTATTTAAGGAACTTGGCACTGACTTGTTATTAATCACTCAGTGTACTACATGTGCTATTGTCTTGTTGGGATGTGCTACTTAAACTGCTCTTGAGTTTGGCCTCCTCTATTATATACAGTCAGTGCCAGAAAAATGAGTTTCACATCTACCAGTATCTACAGGCAGTACAAAAGTGTAACATGATCGTATCCAGTTGGGAAATTTAGATAGACTTTAAGGAAAGGGTACTTTTTAAAATAGACCTAAGAGACAGAGGGATACTTTTTTTTTTTTTTTTTTGAGACAGTCTCGCTGTGTCACCCAGGCTGGAGTGCAGTGGCGTGGTCTCGGCTCACTGCAAGCTCTGCCTCCCAGGTTCACGCCATTCTCCTGCCTCAGCCTCCCGAGTAGCTGGGACTACAGCCACCCGCCACCACGCCCGGCTAATTTTTTGTATTTTTAATAGAGATGGGGTTTCACCGTGTTAGCCAGGATGGTCTCGATCTCCTGACCTCGTGATCCACCCACCTCGGCCTCTCAAACAGAGGGATACATTTTTAATAAAAGGCATAAATAATGAACAATTCCGAATTTCTGGATCATAAGACCAAATTAAATTGAAAAGGAGACGTTGGGAAAATAGAAAGAAATTTTGATTTTTAAAGAGTAGTCGAGTTGAATCTATAAGAAAACAGCAGCAATCTCTATTCATTATGTCCAAAAATCCCTCTTTAAAAATACACAATTCAACATTACTTATATAAACCAAATTGAATCATTTTCTAATGGTTTTATGGATTAAAGTAAATCTTTCATTTCCAACCAAGTTTAAGTTCCTTAATGGTAGAGTCTGAATAACACATCGTGGCTTGCCACACCTAAAATTGTGGGACAGCTTTCTTTTGATTTTTTTAAGGGCAATATTAACATGCTCTCTGAAACAGAAAGGGAATTCTGATGAACTTTAATGACATCCCCAAACTGCTTTCTAGTTAATTGTGAAATAAAGGGTAACATACCCCAGATATAGTTGGTAGAACACAAGAAATATCTGAAAGGCTCTTAATGGCAAATTCCTTTAAGCTTTTCCCCAGTTTCTTCTTTCTTCCTTTTACACGTTTCCTTGATCTCGTTATATCTAACTCATGGGCAAAGCATGCTCCAATGGCGGGTTAGATAACTGATGTAAATAAGTGGTTTCTGCATTTGAACTATTTAGAGGATTCTTATAATTTGTTTGTATATTTGTTAGCTTTATGTTGTTTGGTTTTATGGTCTCAAAAATTATACATATGGGTGTTCTCTATAGCTAAATGTCTTTCTTTATATTGTAATGTGCAATTGCTTTAGGACCCAACTTAGAATTCAGGATGTGGATTGACATAGGTGTTCCCCATGCTGGAAAAATCAGTAGAGAACTGAGGTGAAGAATAGTATTTCTGAAATATCCCTGTAGACTTTTGGCAATAATTAATTTTACTTGCAAAATAATAGTTTAATTGCTCCTCTTCCCTTGTCTGTGCCAAGTCATGTCATCTGTTTTTTACTTCCAGTTTTATGTATTTTTAAATGGATCATAAAAAAACTCCCCACCCTCTTCTTGACAAAAAGCTCTGAGCTACTCAGAACAAAGGAGCAAAGTAACTACACTTGAGGTTTTTATTGACATGTACACACATGCTAAGCCTTGACTTACAGTGTATTTTACTCATTTATGAAAAAGATGAGTCACCTGTGTCTGCATTTGTCACATGTAAGTTATTTATTTTCTTAGCCACGTTTCCCCACCTGGATTATTCTGTAATGCAAAAAAAAAATATTGTAAATGGCTTAGCTAGAAGTTTTATCATTTCAAATTTATTCTTTTACTTTGGTACAGCACCTCCTATTGCTTTGTTATTGTTTTTGTTGCCTGGGATTCCACCAGGAAGTATAAGACGGAAACTTCTGCAAGAAAGGATGTACCTAAGTCTTTAGTTTTACGTTGCTGTGCATCTCGTATTAAGATCAGACGACCCTATTGACAAGCGCCACTTATAAGGGAGATAACATTTTATTATAGATCTGTAGATTCACAATAAAAGATAGCGTGCTAAAATACTTGAGATAGTAATTGCATAATGTTAGACATTTTAAGATGAAGTACTTAACAAAATAACCCCAAAGAAGAAAGCTACTTTGGTTGCTGTCTCTGCAGGAAATAGCTTTGATTGATTACTTTTGCTTTTGTTTTGGCTCTTCAGATCTTATCAAGAAATGATGCCTTTGAATGAAAATATATAATGTAGTTTTGTTTAATTTTGATTTCATTAGATTTTGTGGCAGTTTTGATAAGGTGACAGGGCTGGCTACAGTTTAAGGAAAGAATTAATTTTGACTCAAAAAACTACTCATGCAAACAAATCAATAAATACTATTGATAAATGAATACATGCACAGATCAAAATAAATATCAAATATAATTATTACCAATTAGATTTATTTATTTATTAAAAACTTCATATTTGTGAGGCATTTTATAGAATCTGAGGATAAAGAGTTAAACAAGGGGCATTCCCTGACCTCATGATTGATGGTAATGTTCTAGTAAAGGAAGTAAAACACTAAAAAAAAAACCCCTGTTATATACACACATACATACATACATACATACATACATACATACATACACTAAAAGAAAACCCTGTTATATACACACATACATACATGGAGACAGGTAGTGACCAGTGATAACAAGAAGTAAAGCAGGACACAGGGATGGAAGGTACAAGGGGGAGGTACGCAAGGCTATTTCAGGAGGGTTGGGAGCAACAGTCTAAGGAGGTAAAATTTCAATGGCAATTCAGTGAAGGGAATGAGAGAGCCCTATTAACATCTAGGAGAAGAACTTCCCATGCAGAGGTATCAGCAGGTGCAATGTCCTGGGAGAAGTATGTGCCTGAGATGGTTTGACAAACAGCAAGAGGGTTATTGAGCTGTGGAGCTATGGTGAGAGAGGAGGGAGGAGAGTGAACTAGGTCAGCTCATGGAGGGCCAAGTATTCCACAGACAGGGCCTTCAGACTCATCATCAGTGGAGAGTTGCGAGCAGGAGAGTGAGGGGACACATTTGGTTTTAAAAGAATAACTAAGGTAACTGTAAATTAGGAAACAGACTTGTGCGTGGGGTCAGGAATAGAAGCAGGAAGCCACAGGGGGAAGCTATTGCTCCTGGAGTTTAGACGTGGAAGACCCTGAAAGCTTTCAACAGGATAGCTCCAAATGACTACAGTGCATAGTTTACCAAGACTCAGGGTCTGGGGTAATAACTCATAATAAAACACAGTCATATTTCTGAAGAATGTATGACTATTCTTATTCAGTGGGATAAAGAAGGAAAATAAATGGTCTTATTTCAGATGAGGTCAAGTTTTCCCATCAAATGAATAATGAGAGTACTTTGGATTAACAAAGGTTTCTGGACTGCAGAATTCCAGATGTCACTATGGACCAGTGTAATAATGGTGACATCTTTTATATACAGCTTCTGTATATATTCTTCACAAATTACTAACACTATACAAAAAAAAGGTAGCCTTCCTTCAGAAAAAAATTATCTGAATATCAAAAGTGAATATGAATCAAAATGTAAAAATTAAAATAAAGCTGCATGTTAGATAACTAATTGACGAAGAATTTCAAAAAGAGGATAAAGCCTCAGGCTCAGTAAATGTGGGAGAGATATTTTGCAGCATTAAAGGCCTTATAGAAATTCTTTAAGTTGTACTTGGTAACTTTTTTTTGTTTGTTCGTTTTTGTTTTTGTTTTTTTCTGTTACTCAGGCTGGAGTGCAGTGGCACAATCTTGGCTCACTGCAACCTCCACCTCCCAGGTTCAAGCAATTCTCCTGCCTCAGCCTCCTGAGTAGCTGGGACTACAGGAGCCTGCTACATGCCCAGCTAATTTTTGTATTTTTAGTAGAGATGAGGTTTCACCATGTGGGCCGGGCTGGTCTCAAACTCCTGACCTCAAGTGATCCACCCACATTGGCCTCCCAAAGTGCTGGGATTACAGGCATGAGCCGCCACGCCTGGCCTGATAGGTTCTTATTTGCGTGTATAACAGGAGAGGAGAGGGGATGATATGAGCTCAACTCTGAAAGATGTGTCCAGCAAGGAGTTTCTAGCAGGGAGAAAGGCTTGCTAATCTCCAACCCCCCAACCCTCGTACTGTTCTCCATCTTTACAGCCATAGTTGCCTAAGAACCTACATAAACCCTTGGGGCTGAGAAGATGCAGCTGTTCCCCAGAGTAACAAAGACAGAGGCATTTGAATCTTGGCTTCTAATGGCAGAAGCCCTATAGTTAGGGTGTAGGAAGGAGTAGCCTGTTTATATAAAAATAAACCTACACATCATTGAATCTGGTTATCAAAATTCAACTAAACCAAACCAAAGCTCTGCTTAGAAAATAAAATACAGTTTATATTTTAAACAGTATATAAATACAGTTTATACCCAATGGTCATGTCAGAATCCTGTAATCAGAAGCAGCTTGAAACTCTATTTTCACATCCTCTGGGATTTCAATTCACTGACTTGCCAGTTCAAAATCACGGAAGTCCTCTACATAATTAATGCTCATTTTTAGTGTATTGCCTCAGTGTATATCTTATTTTATACACGATTCATAGTTTCTTGATGAAGATGCACTTATATAAGCATAATTTTGTAGTTTTTAAAAATTGTTTTCAGAAATCTACTCTTTCAAAGTAACTCCATAAGCACTTTGGTCCAGAATGAATCATGAGTGAGTTAGTGAACTGTTTCTGTGTCTATATATGTGTATGCGTATTTAGTGCTGCTAATCTATTCCACAATTTTTTTCTGACTTGCTACAACTTGGAACTTCTCCAAACATGTTTTTAAAAAATGCTGTTAATTACAGGAACTTTAATAAGGCATCTGAAGTCTTTCAAGTTGGTTTCCCCATATATGTACACACATTTGTATGCTTTGAGTGTGGAAAATAATTTATTGCCATCACAATTATCATCCAGAATAGCAGCATTTATATTTCAATCTCATATTGCACTGTCTTCTCTCTGTAGGCTGTAGACATAAGCTGTAGTTAAGGCTGTTATTTTCTCAGAATCACCATGGTGAAGTTATGCTAGAACTAAAGTTACAGAGATTAAGGTGTAGGAAAATCAAATTATCGTCACTATGAATCATAATAGTGAAATATATGCAATGCTTGGTAGTCTATAGAAAAGGATAATTTGGATAGTTTTGTGAAATTGTATGGCATCTTATGTGAAAAAAATAAAGGACTGAAGACAGGAAAAAATAAAGCAATAAGAAAAGGAAATTTTTAATCAAGTTAAAATACTTTTTTTACTCTCCTTCTCTCTTAGAACAATGTGGGGGAAGATTTTAAGTTTGTGGGCTTCTGTGTTTTTACATTTATTGAAGATTTATTTAAAGAACTCCTGCAGCCCCCAATGCCTTCTTTGGAGGAATTATACCAAGTAGTGTATAGGAATTATACTAACTATAGTAGAAGAAATTTTATTAGCTAGGTGTACCCTCAACGTGTCACTAATGAGACACTCATTTTCTATAAACAATACTGATTTCATGGGTTTTACCTAGTGCTGCTTGAGAAATAGCGTTCATTTCACAGACATACTCTCTTTATATATAATTTAAAGCACTTTCCTATTTGCTAATAGAATTAACAGGGCATTCACCCATATTTTACAAAAAATAAGACCTATGACATTCATTACAAACAAATTTTCCAAATTTGCAAATAATTTCCCATTGTTACAGTTTTACTAGGTACATTCATTTGCTGGGGCAGCTGTAAACTACCACAGACGGGAAGGCTGAAGCAACAGAGATTTACCTCCTCACAGTTGAGGAGGCTGGAAGTCCAAGATCAAGGTGTCAGCAGGGTGGGTTTCTCCTGCAACCCTCTCCTTGGCTTGTAGGTGGCCATCATCCCCCTGCATCTCACATGGTCTTTTCTCTGTTGTGTCTGCATCCTTATCTCCTCTTGTAACACACCAGTTAGATGGGATTAGGGCCCACCAGAATAACCCCATTGTAACCTAATCACCTTTGTAAAGATCCCACCTCTAAACACAGTCATATTTTGAGGCACTGGGGGGTTAAACATATGAATTTTGGTGGTACAAAATCCAGCCAATAATACTGACTAAAATAAAATGTGCTTGAAAATTAAAGAATGACCAGTCTTTGAGAATGTTGTCACCTAAATTTTCTAAACACATTGCCATGAATTTTTATGAAAACACAGCTCTCCTGTGTGGGTATGTGTGAGTGTGAGTGTGTGTGTGTGTGTGTGTGTGTGTGTGTGTGTGTGTATGTCTGTCTTAGCCAGAAGTAGAGTCCTTTAGCAAAAGAGTGAGTACAATCAGTGATTATCTGTGGCCTGCTGACACATTTGAAAGAGAAAGCTGAAGAGAGAGCTGTTGAATACATCCTAACATTTTCAAAGCCGGACCCTTTTTGACAATTAAAACATAAGCACAGGAGTGTGAACAGAATACAGAGTATGAACAGAAGATGGGAACAGAGGAGGAGGCAGAGGCTTCTCCATTTTTTTGTGCCCATGTCAGAGATACTTTCATAAAGCAAGAATTAATTATATGCATATTATTTTTCTTTTTTTAAAAAATGCTCTTAAAGATTAGTTCAACCAGAGTCACCATTTATAAGAAAAAACAACAGAGACCCAGAAGGGGCAAAAATTTTGCTCTCAAATTTAACAGTGGAATCAGCACCAGAATCTCAGTCTTCAGACACCTCCTTCTCTTTCTCCTACTTTATACTTTCTGCAACGAATTAACTCCAATTCGTTATTTCTTTGGTGTCTTCATTATCAAAATCCTTGTGCAGTGAATGTCTATTGTTGTGTTCTTGCCTGGCGTCCCTTTCCCTTCATCTGGTATCTTCCTTTGGCTTGAGGATTTTCCCCTTCCCACCTGTGGGGGATATTCTATCCATCCAAGGGCCCTGCCATCCTTGTCAAAGACCTGAGCACATTACCTGGAATTCTCCAGCAAAAGACTGTTGAGGGAATTGATGTTGATTCTAGGAGAGAGAGGTAGGTTTCCTTCTTTTGGAGATTATGGCCCTTGAGGATTGTGTGAGCCTTGGAATGACAGAGGAGAGATCCTGATTGGAAAAGAGGAAAGCAGAGCTTAATGAACTGAAGAGAAATAAGGAATAGGAGTGAAAGACAGGGAGAGGGAGAGGGAGTGAGAAGAGAAGGTGACAGGAAATAAACACATGATGGCACTATTTGAACCTGGATTCATCAGGGCTTAAGGGATTTGCTGCTACTTCTGTACTTTTCAGTTAAGGTACTGACCCATTTCCTTTATTTTCTCTCTTAAGTTAGAGTTTAAGTTGTTTTCTACTACTTGCAACAGAAAAAGAACTATCAAACTACTGCAAATAATAATAAATAAAATAAAAAGCTGCTGTGAATAAAGGAAGTCCATCTCAGCCACATTATATGAGGTCCGGCACACCCCTGACAGACAGAGCCAGTGTCTCCCAAGTCTAAATCCCTGTCCTTGAATGGCTAGTCTTTCAGGTCATGGAAGGGTGACAGTTTACTTTTAGGGTGGGGCCACGGGATAATTGCCTAGCACTGATACATTAGAGTGCTTCTCTAAATAAACAATTAGAGAACTTGCAATTGATCAGTTGCCCAATTTCCTTGAAGATTATTATTGTAGGTCTGTTTCCATGAGGATTATTGTGAAGAACATAACTTCATTCAACACAACATATTCTTAGGATAAGAAAGGGAGTAGCCTTACATCTTCAATACACTGTGGTTTGAAAGCATATTTAAGGACATTACAGCCTTTTGGCTCTTGTGACCTTGGTGATATTATTGGAGGGATCTAACAGAAACACATTTTCAAATCTGGTATATTGACACTACCTTCTCCACACCCTACTCCAATCTCATTTCCAGAATTAACAGGTATTGAATAGGGGTGGAATACGAGTTACTATAGGTTCCCACAGGCTACCATGGATTCTTATTTTTGCGCTGTTTTCATGGTATAATTCAAGTATGGGGAAAGTCAAGGTGGTTACTAGATGTGCTGCAAAAGATGGGGGATAAACTTCATGGCCAAGGTGTATTTTGCATAGTTGAAAGGCTCAAAATCCATCTCATAGTCTAGAGAAAAACAGATGGCAAGATCCCATGGCCAATATTTTCCATGCAAGGAAATCTACCAATCAGCAAGTTGTAACTTATGAAAGAGTATTTTCTTCCCTGGCTAGGGGAACTATAAAGACCAGGTTTCCTTTACACTAAATGAGTTGGTTCTTGATAAATTTGTTTTAGTTATAAATTCAAAATTCCTTCTTTCGCCATTGATTATGCTGATCACAGTGAGTCTGGTTCTTTTACCATGGTTTCGCTAGGATCTGCCTTCTCTAACTCCACTTTTATGGAAGTGTATTTAGAAACTTCTTTGATTCCAGAGATCCTATCAGAAGTATACAAAACAAACACTGTTGAATCTGAATCCAGATTCACTTGTCTTTAAAAAGGTCATTGTGTTTCAGTATGGAAAATCCTATCTAGTATTCTTTTTAAAAAATGGTCATAATACATTTTTGATCATATAGGGTATGCTAGCAATAGTACTTAAAGCAGAAAACCAACGTGTTTGTATGTATATTCAGTCATGAGCCACATAATGACATTTGGGTCAGAAGCACATATACGAAGGTGGTTCCATAAGGTTGTAATACTGTATTTTTACTGTACCGTTTCTATGTTTAGATGCACAAATATATACCATTGTATTACAACTGCCTACAGTATTCAGTACAGGAGCACGCTGTGCAGGTTTGTAGCCTAGGAGTAATAGACTATACCATATCGCCTAGGTGTGTTGAAAGCTATGCCATCTAGTTTTGTGTAAGTACACAATGATTTTCACACAATGATGAAACTGCCTAACAACACATTTCTGAAAACATATCCCTGTCATTAAGCTTGACTGTGTTTGTGTGTATATACACTTTGCACTTCTTTAGAGAATGTAGATTACATGATTATCTCAGTTCTGAACACAACTGGTGTCTACATAGGTTAGACGCTTCCCCAAGCAAAATTACCTCATGTAAGGTGACAGACAGTAACAGAGTTTGACATACAAGAAATGTCTATAGATATCACCAGCATTCATAGGAGGTAAGAAAGATTACTGAAATATCTATCTATTTATTTTTGAGCATTAAGAAAAAAGTTTTCATTTTCCCCTTGACTGATATCCCATATGTTTTGTGGGAAGTTACTCAAAAAAGAAAATCATCCAAGGTCAGATGAAAAAAATTTTAAGAAAATAAAGAACGCCCAGCATGTCAAAATGATATATCTATTGGCAATGGAAGTGGTCACCTCTTAAGCAGAAGACTATTATTAAATAAAAGACTGTCTGGAATTGACAGATTGAGGATGGAAAGAAGTTTTTTGACTTATTTTGTTAGGTGAGACAAGCAATATTCCTATATCACATGGCTTAAAATTTTAACTATAAAATCTGAAAAATGATCAGTTTTACTATAAATAGTGTTCCTACTTCACAGATGTTCTTAGTGGTTGTTAACCATAGGACTCTAGTTTTTCTATTTAAAAGATAAGCTGAAATTTAGCACATTTGCTTAATAAAAGATCATACAATCAACAAGACGATTTTTATTCCTTCATGTTTCTCCCTGGGGAACGCACTTAGCCTCAGAATGATTTTGCCTGATGACAAGTAGCAATTGCACTTGCTTTCATAGTGTCCAATGCATTGCTCTCACTAATTTGAATCTCTCCACTAAATGGTTTAATTAATTTTGCATTGTGCTTACTGACTAGTTTTAATTAGCAGTTAAATCAGTTCAGTTAACGAAAAAATGTAGGTGTTTACATGAATGCAAATCACAGTGAGTTATTGGGGCCCAATTCAGACACTTGTTCTGTCCCGTCGATGTTCAATTTCCTCAGGCCTTGCTAAAATAAATAAATAATTGTATTCCATAGCTGTAGTTTTTCACTCAATAAATTATGAACATTTATGATGCTCCCACCAGATATGTCATGAGGAAGATGGTGTGCCCAGACCAAAGGCAAAGACCTCCCTGGGCAGTGTCTTCTCTCCTTCATTGAAGATACTGCATATGTGAATTTCAGGAATGGCTCCTGCAGTTCTGGCGGAAGTTGGGTTTTCCTTAGTTAGTTGTGTTGAGGCAACCACAATATAGAGGTGCTATGAATTTCTCCAGGGATGGTGGAGTGGTGACACAAAGCACAACCTTGATGCAGCTCCTTAGTGAGTTTAATGTTCAAGAAAAAAATAATAAAATGATTAAATATTTAAATCCCTTCTTCATTTCTAATACTGTGCATTTTTTATCCACTGATTTGGCTACTATGTAAGAAAACAGTCAACCATTGTAATCACTTGTGGTTGACTATTTTCTTACATAGAAGCCAAATCTGGGTGAAAAATCTACTGTATTAAAATAAATATTGTATAAAATACAAGATAAAAAATAATCTCATCAACAAATAACTTCTAATTTATAAGAATTAATTTTACAATTTCTGGACCTTTAATTCATTTTGAAGATGGTCTGCTTAAAAAAAACAAGAAAGAAGAATGTGTTTTCCAGAGGAAGAAAATTTTCAAGAAAAGTCTTTATTTGACTTAAAATTCAAGGAATCTTTATAATTTCAGGAAAACCATATCAGCAAGCTCCTCTGACTATAAAGTATAGTCAAGAGAGATGGAAGGCAGATCCAGTGTATTGACAGCTTCAAGACCGTATACTAAAAATTTGAATGCTAAAATCCTAAAATGTATCTTCTCCTCAAATGTAAATTTCAGAGCTTTCATTGTTTGGATGATAAATTTAGTTCTTCAAACCACTTTATGTGTATTGGGAAATCACTCATTACACTGTTTTTTGTTTGTTTTTGTTTTTTTTCCAAGACGGAGTCTTGCTCTGTTGCCCAGGCTGGAGTGCAGTGGTGTGATCTCAGCTCACTGCAAACTCCACCTCCCAGGTTCAAGCAATTCTCCTGCCCCAGCCTCTCAAGTAGCTGGGATTATAGGCACACATGTGCCACCATGCCTGACTAATTTTTGTATTCTTAGTAGAGACGGGGTTTCACCATGTTGGCCAGGCTGGTCTGGAACTCTTAGCCTTGTGATCCACCTACCTCGGCCTCCTAAAGTGCTGGGATTACAGGCGTGAGCCACTGCGCCCGGCGTCGTTACACTGTTTAAGAGAGTTTAGTAGCAACAGGTTTCTCAGTTATCTCCAGCTACAATCTCTTCCAGTCTTTGTACTGTCAGGACGAACACAGGATAGCTGGACTTTTTTGTCAGGCTTTAAGATTCCCATAGAAGGAGAAAGCAGTGTCCAAGAGTCATTTATTTGAATAAAAACTTTTTCTATGCTAAGCTGTTAAAATCTTTTGCAACATAAGTTGAGAAATTTGGTGTCATACAGTATAATTGGCTTATTTGCCTCTTACTAAAGAACAACTGTAGCAAAATTATTAAGTCTCAGGAACGGTCAAGGTTGGGATGAATAATGGTGTGGAACGAGACCAACCCAAAAACTAGGGCAGGAGCAAATTCCCCTAATGATCCTGGTGATGGATGCATATAGATCTGGTTGCAAGCCCAGGAAACCCTGGAAACCAGTTTCATGTACATAGCAACCAAAGAGAAAGTGCAATATTTTTACCAGGGAGAAAGGGATACATCAATACATGTTGTAGTGCATAGAAAATTCCATTTGGCGCTGGATGATCATGATATCCAAGACAAATACTGTGAATTTATGCCACAGGATTCTGTTCAGTCTTGCTCTCTTGCCTGTTACTGTACTATTCTGAATCCTAGGATCTTTCTAGGGCTATTTTAATTTTGATTTATTATTGTAATTATTAATTTTATTTTTCACAAAGTATCCAAATTTCTTGAAAAAAAATCTGAAAATTTTAACTTTTATAAATAGCATGTTTGTATCTGTACTATCACAGAGAAGTGTTAGTGTGTTACACGAAACAGCTCTCAGTGTATGTAATTTAAAAGATCAAGGAAAAGCATAACCATTAGTTATATGTCATTAATGAAATATTTTTAATAATTTTAAAAAGCAATAATAGTTATTTTAAAGATTAAGAATAATGAAGTATTTGCAGTTTAATGATGCCTTTACCAGGGCAAAGCAAAAATGTCACATACTTACTTTTATGATTCAGTGAAAATATATACTATTATATACATTTTACATATTTTAAAGGTTATTGTATTACAGAGTGCATTGATTTCTCCTTCATTCCTGAAGGATTTTTTTTTTTTTTTTTTTTTTTTTTTTTTTTTTTTTGAGACGGAGTTTCGCTCTGTCGCCCAGGCTGGAGTGCAGTGGCGCGATCTCGACTCACTGCAAGCTCCGCCTCCCGGGTTCACGCCATTCTCCTGCCTCAGCCTCCTGTGTAGCTGGGACTACAGGCACGCGCCACCATGCCCGGCTAATTTTTGTATTTTTAGTAGAGACGGGGTTTCACCGTGTTAGCCAGGATGGTCTCGATCTCCTGACCTCGTGATCCGCCCGTCTCGGCCTCCCAAAGTGCTGGGATTACAGGCGTGAGCCACCGCGCCCGGCCAGGATATTTTTAATTGACATAGAACTTTGAGTTGACAATTCTTTTCTTTCAGCACTTGAAAAATGTGTGTCATTTCCTTCTGACTTCTGTGGTATCTGATGAGATCTCTGCTGTCTTCCTTCTCCCAACACTCCCTCCCTCCCGTTTTTTTCTCTCTACCTTCCTTCCTCTTTTCTCTTCCTTCCCTCCCTTTCTTCTTTTCCTTCCTTCCTTTTTTCTTTTTTCTCCTCCTTTGAGTGCCCTCAAGACTTTTTCCTTTTCTTTTCAAAAGTTTTACAGTGATATATCTCTTGATCTCGATTTCTGTGGATTTATCCTATTTGAGAGATTTTCTCAGCTTCTTGAATCTTTAGCTTTATGTACTTTTTGGGGACCAACTCTGGGAAAGTTTCAGGCATTGTTTATTTGAATACTTTGCAGCCCTACTCATTCTTGTCTTCTGGAAATCCAGTGACAAGATTGTTAAATCTTTTGTTGTACTTGCACAAGTCCCTGGGATTCTGTTCATTTTATTTTATTTCTTTATTTTTTTGGTCTAAATCTTTTTGTTGTCCAGATTGGGTAATTTCTATTCTAGCTTCATAGTCTCTCATGCTTTCTTCTGTCCTCTCCATTACTTTGTTGGGTCAATCTGTTAAGTGTTTTATTTCAGTTAATTTATTTTAGTTTTAAGATTTCTATTTGGTTCTTCCTTGTATATGTTATTTCTTTGCTTAGACATTCTATTTCTTTGCTATTTCTATTTTATTTGTTCAAGCGTGTTCATAATTGCTCATTGAAGAAATTTTATGATGTCTGCTTTAACATCCTTGCCAGATAATTCCAACATTTGTGTCATCTTGCTGTTGTCATCTATTATCGTTTTTCATTCAATTTCAGATTTACCTGCCTTTTGGTATGATGAATGATTTTCAATTGAAACCACCATGTTATTCCTCAGATACTGAGGCCTCTAGCCTTTCTGCCATCTTCTCTCCACCTTGCAGTATCTTCTTACATTTGTTGTATCTATAATTTCCAGGTATTTTAGTTGTATTTAGCAAGAGAAATAGAGAAAAGTACATATATTCCATCTTCCCAGAAGTGGAAATCCTGCTTAATGTATTTTGAAGTGAAGTGTCTGCACAGTTAGCATTGCTACGTCTTCTTGATTACTTAATAATCTTATCATTTTGACATGTCTTCTTTTCTCTATAATGTCAACTTTATTTGATACTAATATAGCCACTACAATTTTTCTATTCTTCCTCTTTATATGGCATATCTTCTTTTTCTTTCAACAAATCTGTATTTTTAAATTTAATGTCATTGCCTAAAATCAGCATAAGGTGAGATCATACGTTTTTCTTTAGTCTGATATGTTCTACTTTTTTACTGGACAGGTGTTTTCATTTACATTTGTAACTATGAATCTTTCTATTTAAGAACATTCTAATTGAACAATTTATTTATGAGTCTTCAGTAGAGTTTGAATTTTTTTCTTCACATAGTTTTTATACATTTCTTATAAAGACTCAGATATTTTACACTTTTCATTGCTTCTCTCTGTATATACATGTGTATATGAATACTTAATTATTGCTAGACATGTATATTAATATGTAAATACTATATATAACATGCATACACATATGTATATGTATATTAATATATACATATATTAAAATTAATGTATACCTGTGTATATATGTATATATTAATATATACATGCATATGTGTATATATGTTATATATGGTTTATAATATATATCATTATACAAACTGTGCATATATATAGATATATACACATACTATATGTATAGCAACCAAAGTAAATATTGATATCTTGAAAGAGAAGATACCAATTAATGTGTTAGAAAACAAACAGGAACAGAAAACAAAGCTCAGGAACTTTGCGCTACATTGCATGAAATTTCAAGTTTGCTGTTTTTCTCTCTTCTATTTCATTATAGATTTATTTTGTGTGAGTGTTTTTGTTGTTCTTGTCATAGTTCTCTCTTTTATTTGGTTTGATTTCTAGACTATTTTATAAACTGTTACATGTAGTTTATAATATATATCATATTATACAAACTGTGTGTATATTTTTATTATATATATACATGCTACTTGTTTGTATAATCGAATGTTGTTGGCTTCTATATAGTATTATTATTTTTTTGAATCACAGTGTTTCTCTTTCCTTTTATAGTAGGTTTTCAGTTCTGTTGGGTTTTCCAGATCAATCAAATTATCAACAAATAGTAGCTGTTGTAGCTTCTTCTTTCCAATTTGTGCATTACTAATTGTGTTCTCCTGTAATGTTGAAGATAATATTATTATCACTAAATAATATTAGTGATAACGGATATTATTGTCTAATTCCTATCTTTAGTATAAATGGTTTTTCAATTTCCCATTATATATGATGCTGGCTTTTGACTGAGATAGTTATATTGTATAATAATAAGAGACATTTTGTTGTATTTTATTGGCTAGATTTTTTCTTTTAAATCAAGCAAGTAATGTTGAAGGTACTTTCGGCATCTGCTTTAATCAGGTTCCCCAGAAGCTAACTTTGAGAATAGTGAGTACAAGTCAATTTATTGTACAAGTCATTTATTAAGGAAATGTTGGCAGGCAAGACTGGGAAGAGAGTAGGGGAAGCAGAACAAAGAAAGGAGAAGCAGCAAGATAGAATGTAATCACTGGCAAAAGTCCTGCAGAGGTAGGCTTCAGCCATTTCCCACATGATAATTCTAAGAAGTAAAGTATGCTTCCCAGTTGCCCTGATGTGACGCAAGAAACTGACTTTGATATTCCTAAATTCTATAATCATTTGTCAGTGGCCACAGTGGTTAAGTTTGGGGAGTGGAAGCAGAAACTCACAGGGACATTCAGCACATTTTAAAAATATTTTTGTATTCTATTAATGTTTTCTTAAGGAACTTCATCATGCATATGTTAGATCTCTTTCTGCTTTTATATCTATCATTTGCTCTCCAAATTTTTATAATTTATCGTTTCACTTCCACTTTCTTCATTTTTTTGTGTGTTTATGTATCCCTTGGTGTATTTTCATTGGTATCTCTTTATCTGTAGGCACCTTGTAGGTTAATATTTTTGAAATCATTTTTACATGTTCCTATTTTTTTTTCAATTTCTACCTGTTCCCATTTAATGTCCTGTCATTGTTTTACCATCTCCTGGTATTATCTGGCCACCAACTTTCCTATATCTTGCCTTTCTGCTTTGTGTTTGTATGTTACCTCAGCATTTTTAAATTAATTTTTAAAAAGTTCATGTTAAGATACTGAGTTATAATCTTTATATACTTTGTGGCATCATTTTTTCATTAATAAAAATTTGTACTTCCTTATCTCGGCTCACTGCAACCTCCACTTCCCAGGTTCAAGTGATTCTCCTGCCTCAGCCTCGTGAGTAGCTGGGACTACAGGCACCCGCCAACATACCTGGCTAATTTTTGTATTTTTAGTAGACGGGGTTTCACCATATTGACCAGGCCAGTCTTGAACTCCTGACCTTGTGATCTGCCTGCCTCAGTCTCCCAAAGTGCTGGGATTACAGGCATGAGCCACTGCGCCTGGCCTGATTTTTTTTTAATAGTATCTTTGTTTGGTTTCTGAGTTGATTTATTTGTGGTTACTTATATTTGAAGAAATGGATTTTTCAGGACCAGCGATTAGCAAAAAATTAATGTGAAAGGGGAAAGGAACAAAGGTGCTTTTCCAGATCTCTCCATTCGGGGCTCCTCGATTGCTACATTGTTGCTAATACTATAGCTTGGATGTGTGTTTAGGCCAATGCTGCCTCTCAGAATCTACTTTGTTTTCAGAGGCCTTCTATCACTGGCTGATGCTAATAGGTGACAGCCTGTGTTCCAAGGTTTTGACACACTGGGTTAACTCTGCCCTTTCCCTGTCCTCCATGAATGCCCTTTTTGCAGCATTGTTTTATACTCTTCCTCAGTCAGTGCTCCACGTTCCATTTCCACCTAGTCCATGGCAATCCTTGTCAGGGTGGAGACTTCTCTTTCAAGATATCAAAATTGACTTTGGTTGCTAAAATGTGGTCCCATTGCCCCTGACCTCCCAGCCATCCTTCTCTTCTCTGCATCAACTCTTGTCTCAGTTTCTTGTGCAGGTTTTGCTGATCTCAGGAACTTTGGGCTACGTTGCATGACATTTTGAGTTTGCATTTTTTCTCTCTTCTATTTCGTTATAGATTTATTGTGTGTGAGTGTTTTTGTTGTGTTATTGTCGTTTCTTTTATTTGGTATGATTTCTAGAAAAACAAATTGAGAAGAGGTAGACTCAAGCTGCCATTATGTTCCTATCTAGCCTGTTGATTTTTTGTAGTTCTTTTATTTTTAACTTCAACATGTTATCATCTTTCTCATATCAGATTCTCTATGTAATATATTAATAATACATTACCACTTTTTTAGCTGCATAAGTTACAAAAATAGGATCCTATATTGGGGGATATGTAAGTAAATGATCCATTCTGTTTGCTAAATAAATAGATAAGTAACAAACCTGTCCCATCTTCTTCCTGACCTTTATCTCACTAAATCTCTTCTGAAAGTTTTCCCTAAGCTTCCCAACCCTTTGGACATGTCTTTCCTTCTCTGCCATTCTCTTCTGCTAAACACATGCTCATATTTCAGTGTCTCCTCTGCGAAACTTTTTTTGATCCACCACCAAACAACAGAATTCGCCATTCCTTTATCAATCTTTCCTCTATCAGAAGGGATAGCTGTTCTAAACTTTACAGTGCTTAATTCATTTTAATGTACTCATTTCCTTAACTCCAGCTTGTCCCTGGCATATTGTGAGCTCACAGATGACACATCACAGGTCTTCAGTAGTTCTTTGTTGGACTACCATAAAATTATTTTGACTTAATTTATGATAAGTAAAACTTTGTTTCCTTAGCTGGTTCTCCATGCAGAATGCAGGCTCTATGAAAGCTGGGAGTCAAGTGATTTTATTATTAAATCTCAAGAGACTTGTATTTCTCTTGTAACACAGCAGGCCCTTCATGTTCGATTTCAACTCTTTCATGGAAAGATGGAGAAACAGTGTATAACTGAAAGCGAATAATATAAGCAATCAATCCATGTTAGCCAGGGACAAATTTAGAATTATAACTCATATCTTTTGAATTCCAGAAAGCATACATACCCACTTCCTGCTTCTTTCTCCATTTTTGCCAGCCAAGAGCAAGCTATGAATAAATACAGTGAAAATGTAAAGACAAAAGAGAAGAGAAAGGGGAAAGGAGGGCTTTTGGAATGGATCCTTCACTCAGAAACCTCCAGGGTCTCAAAGTAGATGTCAGAGTTTCCATCTCATTCCATACTTCTCTCCCCCAGATTCTACCCTCGCGGATGTTTTAAGTAGAAAGGTGTTTGTAGTTCTTGACATTCTGCAGACATGCCAAAAAGATTAATTACAATAATTTCTCCTGCAACTGAGATTATTGATATATAAAATGAGTCTAGGTCATCATATGCATTCCAGCTAATGCCACTTGAACTGGTATATGAAAAGCCAATTTATTAGGTGACCACTAATAATGAAGGACATATAGAAGAGTATAAATTTGCATTTATAACAGAGACTGGATGAAAATTCTATCTTTAGTAGCTAAGAAGATGAATGAGTAAAAGTATGATAGATACAAATAGCAGGGTTCATTACACAATAAGAGGATATTATCAGACATATGATGAAGATAAATTCTACTGCATGTCAGAGGCATCATGTTATTACCTCCAATCTATCATCTTGTTAATGTTATTTCTATGGAAACATTAAAAGAAATTAAACTACTAAAACCTGAAAACAGGCTTGACAGCTACATGTAACAAAAGAAAAAATATAAAGATTTTGCTGAAATATTTTCCATATTTTAGCAAGTAACGTTGATTACCAGTAGCCAATGTTTAGATAATCTAACAATGCAGAGGTATAAACAAACCCTATATATAAATATGTTTACATTGTTATTGTTAGACAACAATAATTAATATATTTATGTTGATATATTAATTCATGGAAAATTGTAATTTAGGATTCTCTTGTTCTACCAAATGCAACTCACTTCAATATAAAAAGAATTTTCATGTATATGTATATGTAAGAATATTGGCATCAATTGCTTATATTCGAGCAGGCTTTAATACTCTGAATGGCTTCCATTTACTGTGTAAGTTGGTGGGATTTTTTTTTGCACACTTATCTTGGATGTGGAATAGCTTTACTGGGATATGTAAAGCCTGTTTTGTGTGTGTGTGTGTGTGTGTTTTTCATTTTCACTCCTCTCTCATACTGTTCAGTGGGGAAAGAACTCCCCAGACCTCCTTGTGTGTGTTTGTGTGGGTGTCTGTGTATGCGTGTTCATGCAAGCGTGGGAGGTACATTGAAGGTCCCAAAATGCTTCGTACTTTAACCAACGAACACAATTTCTATTCCAAGGAGATGATACAATTGTTTTTGTTTCTCCACTATACTTACTTTTAAAAAATAATAAGAGTGATAAGTAGAGAGGTTCCTCTTTTTCCTCTTTTTTGTTGTTCTGAAATTGTGTAGAAAATAAAGCTAATTATAATAAAACTGAAATTCATGAGAAAAAGGAATTGAGAATCAAAATTTAACTTTGTCAATTCTGCTGTGAGTTGGTCCTATGCCACTGAGGCACCACAGTGTTCTTTATCTCTATTTATTTATTATGAAATGAGGTGAAGTTCAAGTTCTCCTCAGTCACGACTATAACATGTTTTATTCTTTTGGTATTTATAACAAACCTTGTGACACGCAGATGAAAGATGCTGAGAACTGTAAATGACAAGAGCTAATATTATTTTTTTCCCTGGAGGTGAAGCAGTTTGGTTTTCTAATGTAAAGAAGAAATCATGACAAGAACTTCACAAAATGGCTGGATTTTTTTTTAAAAACATGAATTCAACTTCTAGCAACAGATCCAAGTCAATCAGTTTAATTATTTGGAGACTGGGCTGCTGTGGACAATCATTCACGGGGACAAAACAGCCTTTCAAAGTGATACGTTGTGGAATTTTTAATGTGAATGATACTATTCCCAGAGAGATTTATTTTTTTGTAAACTAGTCATCAACTGTTTTGTATAGGTCTGTGGTATCAAATGTCCATAACGAAAACCCTTGTGAAGCTGAAGAAGTGAAGTAATTGTTGTGTTACCATTATCCGTGAAGATATGTTCTGAACTCATTGAATATATTAGATTTAGGAGTTGTCCGTCAGGAGCTGTTCAGTGATATTGCCTGGAAGCCTTAACGACTTGTAGGGGTGAAGGCAAATATTTTCTTCCCCGCTGTAAAGGTTTGCCATAAATGAGCTACAAAAGGCAGATTCACAGGAGAAAAAGGCATAGAGAATATATTTAATGTGCATAAACGTGGAAGCCGTACACAAAGTATGAGATTTAAAGGGACCAGATGTTTGAGGCTTCAGTATCCTCTTCATAGAGAAAAGATGTATGGTCCCAGGAGGCAGGCATTACAAGTTGAGTATCTCTTATCCGAAACACTTGAGATCAAAAGTGTTTCAGATTTCAGATATTTTTGGATTTTGGAATATTTTCATATACATAATGAGATATCTTGGTGGTGAGACCCAAGTCTAAGCATGAAATTCGTTTATGTTTCCTATAACCCTTATGTACACAGAGATTACCTGAAGGTAATTTTAGACAATGTTTTTAATAATTTTGTGCATGAAATAAAGTTTGTGTACATTGAACTATCAGAAAACAAAGATGTCAGTATCTCAGCCCCCACTGTGGACAATCTGTGCTGTTTGGCATCACTGTCATTCCTGACTCTGAATTTATATGCTGTCAATCAGCAGTTGTTTTCTTGTACTCATTCACACAAAAGCACTTAACAGTAAAACATATGACATGCCACTAATGCAGTGAAAACATAATGTGCTAAGGGCAACTGAGCAGCACGGGAGCATCACAAGACACCTGTACCAGCTGTTAAACCACAGCAACAGCAAAGAGGGGTGTTTGGTCTCCACCTACAATGCTGCGCTTTAATTGAAAGATGAGTGCAATATATATATATATATATATATACACACACACACACATACATATATATATACATATATACACACACACACACACACACACACATACATATATATACACACACACACTTTTTTTTTTTTTTTTTTTGGAGACAGGGTCTTACTCTGTCACCCAGGCTGAGTGCAGTGGTGTGATCATGGATCACTGCAGCCTGAACCTCCCAGATTGAAGCGATCTTCCTATCTCAGTCTCCAGAGTAGCTGGGACTATAGGCATGTGGCACCAGGCCCGGCAAATTTTTTTATAGAGACAGGGTCTTGTCTTGTTGCTCAGGCTGGTCTTGAACTCCTGGGATCAAGTAATCGTCTTGCCTCAGTCTCCCAAAGTGCTGAGATTACAGGCATAAGCCACTGTGCCCAACATTTTTGTGTGTGTGAGAAGAAACATCAGAATTTTTCCACCTGGTATGTTATGCTGGTGCTGAAGAAGTTTCAGATTTCAGAGCATTTTGCATTTTTGGATTAGACGTGTTCAAGCTGTGATTTGCAAAGGATTCTCTTTGGGAGCTGGATGGGACAAGTTATAAGAAGAGAAGGAAGAAACTGCATAAGTACAAAAATTGTCTTATGCACATAAAGCCCCCTAGGTAATCTCTCAGAGCTGCCCTCAGAAGAATGGATGAAAAATCTGTCTGGGAGTGGTGAGGACTCCAATCTCTTCTCTTATTGGGTGGTAGATCTTTCCTGGTTATTTGATGGGATTCCTAAAGAGGGGGTCTTGAGACTTACCACATTTCTTTTGGAAAGAAGCTTTTGTTGTCAGATTAGAAAATTCCAGTGAGAGTGCCTCCCCGTGCTTTGGAAAAAGGAATTAAAGAGACAGGGAGATGGGGAAAGGTCAGAGAGAGATCTTGGTTCTAAGGCCTATTTTTGAGGCCTTTCAGTTTTCAAAGTACTTAGCATTCCAACGTGCCATATTTTGGGGGAATTGTTTTCTGAGCCCAACAGATTTAGAGGTAGGCTGTAATTACAAGTATAAAATAAGGATGGATACAGAGTCCAAATTTATAGAAAATTTAAACCAAGCAATTCTCTCACCCCAAAGTATAAACTCTTTTTCTACCCTTTTCTATGTAGATCCATTTTCAATGCCTTTGGCTTAAAGTCTGGCACAGTTGATAATACCTTTTTATAATAGCTCTTAGAATCTTTTTGGGCTTTGGAACAGTTCTGCTTAAAAAGAATCTCCTATTATCACATCCAACACAGAAAAGGCATCCAATAAATGATTTTCCTTCACTGTTGTTAACACAAGAGTGGTCACAGACTTGAATAGTACACACTGGATCACAATGTGGAAAGGAGGAAAAAACAATGATATTTATTGAGTATATTTCTATGCACTAGTCACCGAGTTATGTTTTGATTTAATGAATATTCAGATTTAATAAAAGATTTGGGTTTGGTCTTTGCCATTCAAAATCTGTATGGTTAGGTAAGTGTCACCTCTTCATATCTTTGATTTTTGAGTTTTCATCTAAAACATGAGAAGATTGTTTTGGTTCATCTTTAAGGCCACTTCCAAACTCCTGTTTTCATTGCAAGCAATATTTCTCTCAAATTTACAAATGGGTTCTTTAACAGCTGCATAGAAATCCATGGCCTTTCATATATGTGTGTGTTGGGACCTGGTTTTAACTATCATCACTGCTAGCATCCTCCATGGTAAGCACATGATTCTGTAAGCTCTTGGATGTATATTGCTCTTGAAGAAATAATAGAACTCATGTCTGTCACCCGACACCA
Source organism: Homo sapiens (assembly GCF_000001405.40). Taxonomy (NCBI): domain Eukaryota; kingdom Metazoa; phylum Chordata; class Mammalia; order Primates; family Hominidae; genus Homo; species Homo sapiens. Next base: position 9,085,260 of record NC_000006.12, read on the forward strand.
CCACTCCACAGGAACCCTTCCCTTCCACATCCTTCCCTCTGATCTAAGTCAGCAGTGATCTGTGGTGTTTATTTCATGAGATTTTGTTGTTCACCCAAATGCATAGAATCACCTGAGAGAAAACTTGTGCCCTTGATTCTCTGGAAAGTAGGATAAAATTATATTTCATCAAAAGTGTCATTGTTATCTTTGACAAAGTAATCAATGCTCTTTTACCAAGTCATGTCATTTAGAAAAAAAAAATCTCTTTGAAGGTCTCACAAGGAAGTGGTATAGTGGTTTAGAGAAAAGACTTTAGAACTAGGCAGACCTCTGTGACTATGAAAAAATACTTTCGAGCCTTTTAATTGCAAAATGAGATAACAATAGTATTTATCTCACTGCCTTGTTATTGAATGAAGTTATGCATGTAAAATTATTCGACTACCATAGTTATATCTAGCCAAATTATAAATAGCGTACATTAAAAAGTTTGTTGTTATTATTATAACTAGTAGATTCATTACTAAGAATATTAGTCTTACTCAATATTGCTGCTTACAACAATCCAGATGGTTTTAAAATAATAAAAACACTTTCCCATGAAAATAGGAAATACAAGCAAGAGTACAACATCTGGGAAAATTCCTTAACACCACATTCAACACTAAAGAAATACTCATTTTATAATTAATGTAGCTTCTTTGTCAAGGAATTCCTTCTATATTGGATTCAAGTTTTTATTCAACCAGTTCTTAAAAATGAGTTCTAAACAAATAGTGATTTTGCATTAGCCTGCAGGAGGTCATCTCTTACAATGGATTCATAGTGCTTTGCCGGTGATGAGAATTCTCACCTCCACTGGGTTGTGCATCAGGAATGACCTCGTCACTCTGCTGTATCACAGATGCACCCCCATAATGGGAGAACACCTGAGAGCACTTTCCAAGAACAATTACACGTCATGCATTAACTAAAATAAGCAATCTGATGCAGCAGCGCGCAAAATAAACTGCATCCTAGAAATAAAGTCTGGAATCTACAGCAAAAAAGTTGCAGGTTCTAATGTCACAATGCTAGCTTGTTGTCCAGGGCCTGGGCTACATCACATGGGGGCCCTGCCGAGCATCACTTGCAGTGACCCAGGAAGTTGGAAAGAAAGACACAATCTGCTCTTCTGGCCAACAGAGCTTTAATAGACTGGCCTTTCATTAAGTGAATTCCTAAATGTTGACCAAATTCTTTTAGACAGAGGCAGCTAATGGCTCAGCATGCATGTGATGCACTTGCTATTACATGGACACTGAAAAAAGTTCCTCAGGGCTGCTTTTCCCAGCGTTTTCACATGCTAGGGGCAGGGGCTGGGCAGAAACTTGTCTTCAGTGGTTTCTTTCACGTCCCAAGAAGGACAGTCATGTGTTTTGGTTTAGCTGATACATTCCAATAAAATGATTTTCAAAGAGACAGTACAAATAATAGGCGTTTTACATATGGTGGCTATGGATGTCACATGGAGCTAATTTTCTCATACACAATATATTTGTTATTCCACAAGCTGGTTATAATTCATTTAAAGTCCCTTCTTATTCAATTTAACCCAATAAACTAATGAAATGGCCCAGTGAAGTCTTTATGGTCAATATAAGTCGGGTAACTGACTTAGCCTACATTTCCTTTAGGATATTAAAGATATATCATTACCTTCCCAGCTGTTTTCCTCCCTCAAAGCTCATGGAAAAGAAAGCATCTCAAGTCTGGATAGCATTAATATATATTCTTTAAAAATCATCCTCGAGGTCAAGATTTTAATGGAAAGAAATCAGCTGTGATTTACTTTTCTTATGTACAATTATAATTGTTAGCAAATGATTTTCTTTATCTCTCCTGGTGCCAGTGGCAGTTACCAGCTGACATTTGTCTACTTGAAAATACTTAAAGAATAGGCGTTAGAAGGAGATGTCCCTGCTGAAGAAAACTGAGAACTTAAAGAATGACATAGCCGGCACCAGCAGGAGATAAAGAACCACTGCCCATTATGTGGAAATTGTCTTTATGCAAAAAAACAAAATAACTTGAGTCTTTCATTTTGTTTTTGTCCAGATAGTTGCTAGTCAAACAAAATCTCAAGGTGGCTTTGTTGACTATTTTCCTCTCATACCTAACATTCTATCTCACGATTTAGTGTAGTTTTTTTTCCTTTACTGTTCTCATAAGAGGTGACTTGACATCATTCTTGTGTGCATGATGTGACCGAATGCCAAATGAAGAAACCAGGCATTTTTCCTGTCACAGGGAAATACGTTTGAGCAATCTAATGCAGTTATTAAGCAGAGCTAGTACAGCTTCAAAATGGACTAATGGGCGGAGGACTCTTGAGCATCACAGGAAATGCAGTCCAATTAGCCAGGGTCAAAATGCACCAGCATCAGCATTGCTTAAGGCCTGGAGCCCCACGGCAATGAGCATGTCACAGTCTGCCATCCAGTTGTCTCCGGGCTGCAGGAAGGTTTGGCCTCAGATCATCTGCTATACAAATGAGCAACATGGCCTACTGAAACCCTGACTGGTCTGAGACTTATCATTCCCAAGATTTATAGCCTCTCATGTTTGAAGTACAGCATCTCCTAGAGAAAGGCATTCAATGACCACCTGCAGTAAATGGCAAGTCATTAAAACAGATTAGTATAGACAATGGCAAATATTTTGACATATTTGAAATCACTTCTTCCAATTTTTAAAATTTCAAATGGACAAAAATAAATGCTCTTTAAGTTGGCCAAAAAGAACATGTGGGAAAGAGCAAGTATTTAAATTTTCAGTTTAATGTAGTGTTTGTCTAATTTTGATGACCTCGGTTTATATAGAAATAACCTCAATCTACATGTTAGCCATGTAATACAATTTGCTAAGTATGAGTATAATATATGTTGTTATTTACCAATTTAAAGGGAAATGTTTAAATATTGAGCTCAATAAATCATTTGAAACCTACTAGTTTAGAGAAAGCCCAGAATAAAAAAGAATGACTTCTTTCATTCCTGCTTGCTGAAGATCTATCTTCTCTCTCTTTTACCTTCTCTCTCTCTTTCTGTTTGTGTGTGTGTGTCTCACTCTTTCTGTCTCTCTTTCCTCCAGTTTTTAAGATTGACAGTACTTCTTAGATAAGCACAGTAAAATCTGAAGAAGAAAGCAGTCTGCCCAAGAAATGGGTGCAGGAGCAACTCTGCTCAACTGACTAGTTCTGTGACCTTGGACAGTTACATCCAAGGTTGTTTCTTTACATGTAAATTGGAGTTGGGGTTAGATCGTGTTTTGTGTCTCTTTCTGCTCTGAATTTCTATATTTCTATTATATTATCATAAGCTTTTGAATCATAGAAAGTCATAGTTTTCTTAACCTCACATATATTCTGCAGAGGTCAATGGGAAAGGATGAAACAGGCTCCCATCTAGAACAGGGGTTAATTAGACTGACAGTCAAAGGGGATTCACACCCCCACCCCAGCAGACGGAAAAAGGCCCAGATACAAATTGCTGTCAGGTCACTAAGCACAGCCCTGCTGATACGGATTGGTAGTCTTGTAATGCTTGCCAAAATATTATGTTAAATGATACAATAATATTATTTATTGACACAATTTCTTTTATCTTAGATTAATGGCAATGATACATATGAGGTATTATTGGTCGGTTTTCTTTAGGAATATCTTCCATTTCTTTTCAAATATATTTCCCACTGTCATTCTTTAGCAGTAACTAGGAGGGCCCTTTACATCATGCATTCATGAGTATATGTGACGATTAAAGCTATCTCAATAATAGATTTAAAATATCATCCTGTTCTTCATGAGCCAAAAATCATAGTGTACACAGAGCACTGCAATTGGTCTTTCCAGCTCAACTTGGGCAGAGATCTTTCTCTGTGTAATTGCAATAACAAAAGCAAGAAAATCCTGTCTCTACTAGATATAATGGAGAGAGCTTGTTCTGCTGAAATAAAGGCATTAACAGGCATACCATGCACCTGCAACCTCAGTAAATATCTTTTAAATACTCAGACACTGCAATAGAATGAAATGATATCTTTACGGGCATCAGAAGACCTAATCTGTAGTATTAGATCTTCCATTTATTGCCATATAACCTTGAATATACCAGTTAAAATATTCATTTATTGATTAGCAGAATGAAAACAAAATGGGGAAATGTATATTAAAGTACTTTGAAAATTAATAGCTTGCTATATAAATAAAAGGCGTTATATATTGGGATAGAAATAAATATTCATGATGATGATGAAATTATGCTGGAATGAACACTTGTTAGAAAAAAACACTTCATTCCGGAGAGTATTGCATTCAGCCTGTCTTCAGTCCATTTGGATCCCTAAAGAGAGCAACGTAGCAGTTTTTACACTGTGTTACCTTTGCAAGAGTGTATTCATAGTATGTTCCTTAAGCTGTTGGAATCACAAGTGAGTCTGGAACCAACCAATTTGGATTTGATCAAAGCTTTCATCAGTAAAGGGGCGGTAACATGGAGTTACATTGGCCTCATAAGGGTGCATACATCCTTAGATATAGAAAAAGCCTTCCTGGAAAAAGATTGCTAATATATGCATTTACTCTCATCCAAGTGGAATCCATTTGATAAAGGTGCCTTTGTTCATTTTGATACCAATAATCTGCTACCTTGTGACAGTATCTGACACAATCAGTTCTTTACAATTTAGTCTTTGAGACATGTTGCTTGTGTTATGCTGTCTTGCAAACAATACTGCAATTACTTAGTATTAACATTTTAAAAATTCCTTAATCTCTGGGGAGACTTCTTTCTTACAGAAAACAATTCTGGGACAAAACAAATTTTGTTTTCTGGCAAAACTGGGGGAAAAAAAAATCTAGGTTTGGTAGTATTATGAAATTGTGAAAGATTCTGTGGCTATGCTTTGAAGTTTAATGTAAGACTTTGGGCGGAAGTGAAATAGTTTTCATGGCTGAAAAACACTATTTCCTGTAAGAGTAAAAAGATGTTCTGTTGTGGGAACTTATTTTTTAGAGGGAAAAGAGAAACACTTTTGCCAAGTTTACGAAAAGATGTATCCATTGGTGGAGATGTAAAAATAAATTGTCACAGCTGTGAAGAAATATATGGTACTTGTGTTCTGTGATGAGGAAAGTTGGGTCATAATTACCATTGAAATGTTCCCATATTATGTGGAGGAGTCTGAAAAATTCCACTTTATCACTAACTAGTGAAGCACAATAGTGAATGAACCCAACTACTTCTATGGAACAGATTGTTCATTTCTTGGAAGTTACATGAATTCTTTCAGACCAAACAGCATACAAAGTTCTTGTAAGTTTCTTTAGCATTATTTAAAGGGTGTTATATACACAATCAATATTCAATAGATGCTTCATTCAATTAATTAAAATGCATTAAATGGCCTTCCATTGGCTGCAACCAAGTCAAATTTGGCTTGAACCTCTCATTTACTCATAGGGAGGGCCTGAGTGAATCTAACTTTACATAAAACATGGATCGGGTCATTGCCTGATCACATTCAGTATGTTGCCCTCATTTACTGCTATGCAAACAAGGCCCTAGAGGTGGGACTGTTGTCTTTCATTGTCTTTCAGTAACTTCAGAAACTGGGGGTGTCTAATGTCTGCAACATAACAGGACTATTGTAGGAAATTCTGAGACTCTATAAGCACTTTTAAATGTGAAAATTAAGAAGGCATCCCAGAAATGAATGGGTCCAGTGCTCTGATTTAAGAGTGTGTGACCTGTCGTCATTCATCCAGCAGACCCAAGCAGGCTTAGAGAAAGTAAGACGGGTTAGTATTATATTAAGTTTATTTTCCCTTTATTATGTATTTCCTTAAGAAATTGCTTAACTTTTCTAGCCTCAAATCATCTATCATGCTCTTCAAGAATTAAATGAAATAATGCATCAATATAGTACTTCAAAAATCATAGCACCTGAAAATATAGTGGTCATGATCATAAAAATGATCTGGGCTGGGCACGGTGGCTCACACCTGTAATCCCAGCACTTTGGGAGGCTGAGGCGGGCAGATCACGAGGTCAGTAGATCAAGACCATCCTGGCTAACATGGTGAAACCCCATCTCTACTAGCAATACAAAAAATTAGCCAGATGTGGTAGCATGTGCCTGTAGTCCCAGCTACTTGGGAGGCTGAGGTAGGAGAATCGCTTGAACCAGGAGGCGGAGGTTGCAGTGAGCCAAGATTGGGCTACTTACACTCCAGCCTGGGTGACAGAATGAGAATTCATCTCAAAAAAAAAAAAAATGATCTGAACATTTGTAAGAATGAACAACAATGCTGTAATAAGCCCCTAAACTTGTAAGAGCCAACTAAGGTTGAGAAAAATATCAATGGAAAGGGATATTTAACTGTAACTGGCTGAAACCTTTTTAAAGTATTTTGAATGTGAAAGACTAAAAACTGTTAATAATCCATTTAAAAATAGATGGAAAATATGTTAAAATACAATACAAAAATAATGTATTATTTCATCCCATTTAATTGAGATTAATTCCAAATCTATTGGGATTCATCACCTTTTTTCTGTTTTCTTAAATTTTTTTGAGGCATTCTAGATAGTGTTTTAGGCAATCAAAGGTAACTTTAGGAATATGAACCAAATTAGTCCCCAAATAGCCAAATTATAACATTTCATCCACTTTGCCATATATAACCAGCCACAGCCTCATGAAAGTTCTTTTCTGGTTTCCTTACAGAATATCTACATAAATAGATACATTTTTACAGTATATGGTCCTTTCTGCCAAATCATCAGAGCCTTACCTTAACTGTGCTGGACACACACATAATATGTAAATCTGTTCCTTAGAATTTAGCTACAGTTCTCTCAAAGTATTTTGTTGCTCACATATACTCTTTAGAGAATAAGGTACAAGCTTTAATTTTTCTCTTTCTACAAACAGACCCATGATGTACATTAGAACACAGCAACTATTTGAGTGAAATAAGTATTTTTATTTATTTCAAGAGGAAAGCAAAGTCGAAGGGTGTTCAGGTTGGTAATTATATCTGCATTTTGTCTATACTTGTTCTATGGTTAATCAAAAGGATACAATATCAATTTCCATCTCAGCCTGAATGATTGCTTTATAAAATCAATGTGCCTTGTCTGTATTGCATTTGGAGAAATTTTTAGAAATGTCTTTGCCAATATACATTTGGGAAAATTCAAAGCACTAGGCATTTTCCTGTCTGTTCATTATCTGATGTGTTGAAAAACTAACGAAGTATTTGTAGTCTGAAGGACTGGGGTTTTCTATCCTTTTTATTTTCAATTCAGTGCAGAGCCAGGAGAGGACACTATTGGAAAACAGAGATGTGAGAAAACCCTAAAACATGGTGTACTCATGCCTGAACTTAGCCTGTCTTTCACAGCAAGGCTCATCATTTCTGGGTTTACTACAGAACCTCACCGTGTACAGCAGGCCTCCTATAGAAAGTAGGTACTGTTGCCAAGATGACACCAGGCTATAAAGAAATGTGCCAATCTCTTTGTGCCAAGACAACTAAAGTGAGCTCACCTTCTACTGAATCCAGCATAGAACCCTGAGAGGCTTTGGACCTCACCGACACCGGCTCAGTTATCTTCTAAGTTACTCTCATAATTTGTGAAACATGCGATCAGGTACATGTGATTTACAATTACAATTAGCTTGTCAGGCAATATTTTTGCCCCTGGAGGAGTATCAAGCCTCTTGCCTATTCTTGCTTCCAAGTCAGGATCAGTCCCAGATAAATGGGAATGTGGATCAGTTTACTTTTGTGAGCTCCCACTTACCATGCCTCCTGGCCCTTTCTTTCCCTCAGCACTTTTCTCCCCTTAGATACTTAATAAAATTGGTCCCCTAGCTAAGTCCAATTGTCTGGACATCTTGCAAAGGATACCACATTCTGGGTTTATCATTCCTAACCTCCAGTACATGAGGCCTCTATGTACTGGATACTCTATGTACTGAGGCAGGACTGGGGACAAGGGGTTGGCACACAGGTGAAGTCAGCTGGATCCTCATCTAGGTGTAAAGCAATAGCAAGTTAATGAGTACGACGGCAGTCAAAGACAGCCCCCAGCCCCGTTCCCTCATGCAATTCCCCTTGACCCAGGATGTTCAGCTCTATCACTGACCTCAGCTTGTTCTGTATTAGACGCGAAGGTCTCTAAAGGCTAGCTACAAAGTGCCATTTCCGGAGTATAATCAAATATCAGCATTACATTGTACCATTTCATCTCTGCTGAAGTTCTTGAGTTTAAAGAAGTTACTTCTGATTCCTTCAAGTCTCAATATGTGGATGGATGCCACATATTTAGGAAAAATAAAATACATTGATTAATACTTTAGTGGCTTTGATATAAAATTTGAGAAAAACTCTTTAGAAAGTAAGAATTTCATTTCTGTATAAATGTGCATGAACCCTAAATATTTTTGGAAAATCAACTTGATTTTCCAGATAAATTTTTGAATTCCTCAAGGGACAAAGGGACTATTTTTTATTTTCTTTTAATTTCTTGTTAATTTATTCAAGCAATATATAGGTATATAAAAATCCCTGTTTACCACTTTTATTTTATTTCCTTTCTTGAGAGATAAGCAGTGTTATCAGTTGGGCACATAAACTTCCAAGTCTTTTAGCATACATGTCACCAATAAGATAAACAATTACCATTCAATTCTTTCTTTTCATCTGGGATCTGTCCAGGACATTCAACCTAAAATCTTTATTATGCACTCAGTATTTTCCAACATAAAACCAGTACTCTTGAAGTAAAGCAATGATATCTCAGATTCTTTCATATCAGATACCTAAACAAAGTTAAAAACTGGAGGAAAAGGAGGGTCAAGGCCGGTTATTAAGTTAGAGCAATTTCCATTTTTAATAACTTTGAGAGGTTAGGCGGTGTCATATTTTAACTGAGTAGGTATCAACTCCTCAGCGTCTGTTTCCTTCTCTATTTGCATAAGCAATTGACAGCTCATTAAGAGCTCATTAGGAACAGTAAAGACCCTGTGATGGGGAAAACAGAAAAAAAAAGCTGTTTTAAGAAGGAAATCTTGATTCGTGAATTTCCTCAATATCTCACAATATGTTTACACCTATAATATCTGATGAGGAAGGAAAGTAAGCTATATATATTTGTAAAATATAAAAGAATGATAATATAACTATTCATTGTATCAGAGTCTATTTGTCTTAATAAGAAAAAAGGGTATCATTAGAATAGAATCCATAACTGCATAATTTTCTCATTTAAAAAAAAGCTAAAAATTTTTACGTTTCCAAACTGAGTTTTCCTTCCATATACATACATTCATGTGCACATACATATGTAACACATACATACATATGTCTGTGTGTGTTACCTTCAAGGTTACACAGAAATATGACAATGCCGTGAGAGAAGAATCAAATGCCAAAAGTGGTAAAGTGACTTACCCAGGATGTCATTCTAGTAGGGGCTGAATCAAGACTGCATCCCAGGCTGCCTGACTACTTTTTCATTGTTTATTCCATCTCATCAAGGGCCCCTGGTGAGAAAAATCTATAAAATATTTCCAAAACACACACACACACACACACACACACACACACACATATATATATATACATATATGTATGTATATGTGTATGTATGTATATGTACTCAAATTTTAGATAACTATAACTTGGAGAAACCAAAATAATCTTATTGTTTAGAAACAGTCTGTATGTGAGAAAACTGACTATGCTTCTTCAGGGTAAAATATGTTCAGAATCTAAATTAGTTCTTTTTTACTTGCTAATACTTTCTTGACCCAAACAAAACAGGCAAAAATCAGATCTCCTCTGAATAAATGTTTGCCTGACACTTCTAAATCTCTAGGTACCAAAAACCGATCTTAAAATGAAAGGCAAATGCACATTGGCGTGCTGGCTATTCTTTTGCCTTTGTATTGCATTTTGTAGAAGGCATGAATGCAAAGCACTTTTAAACACTCAGGAATCGATGCAAAGGAAGCAGTGGGAATGCATTTATTCCTGTTTTATTCAATTTCAGGGCTACAGTTTTGCTTGACCAGATGTTGCCAAGTTTCAAAGTCAAATCGGTTCATCTCCTGGCTATCAGCTAAAGGGTGTTGTATTTGTAAGCATTGAGAACTTCTATCTACTGCTATTGTATTTTGCATATTTGTATTTTCTGAGTTCTATTTGAGAGAGACGGAATTACGCATTTCCATATGGATCATCCTCTTCCCTATGTATGTTGCTTTATTGCCTTTTGGAAGAAAAAAAGTGAGAGTTGCAGTCTGTATTTAGGCCATTTCTATGTTCTTTATTGGGTTACGTTTGAATGCCCAATTTGATCTCAATGGCACGTCCTTTGTAACATAAAATAAAACATGGTGCTCAGGAAAAGTAACGACACACACATCCAGGCCCTTTCATAGCAGTTGGTAAAGCTTAAGCCTTGCCTCTCTGTGTGGTAGTTTCCCTTCCCTTTCTTTTCGTTCCCTGTGACAAGCAGCCATTGTCCCCTTGGTGAGATCTGCAATATTACTTTGACCCCAGCCCATCAATCTGCCTCAATTGGATAATGATCTGTAATCACGTTCTTTCAGGGGAGTCTATAAATTTGCCAAGGCCCCATTCTCTTCTGAAGGACTCCTTATGTTCACTCCCATTTGTGCAAATGTGCTCTCTTTTACAGGGCTAAATAGCCATGCACATGGTCCATTCTGTGAGGAGGCACCGGGCGGTTCTCTGTTGATTTTCCACGCTCTAGTCTCTTAAAGGAGACTAAGGCTGACATGCAGGGACACAGTGGGGGGGTGGCCCGAGCCAGGCCACATCACAGGCAGCCGCTTTTCTCATTAAGACTGACCCATCATTAGGTCACTTTGTGCCATCCTTGTAATCAATGAGCTTAATGTTTAGTGCAAAAAAAAAAAAAGTTATTTAAGGAAAGGAGCTGGGAGCTGGAAGAGGAAAAGAGGAAAGAAAAATGGTAGGAAGCATGGAGAAATTCACCACTTCTAAATCTTAGGGTTGGTTATACTTTGCCCAAAGGGTAGGATGAACTCAAATATGCTACATGTGATTCCTCAAACAACCGCTTCCAGTCCTGTTTGTTTTCTGTAAAACGTAAATATTCTTAGACGCAACATTTCCCCCAGGGGCCCCGCACTTCTCATGAAGTCAGATGAAGTGCTCTGTCTATAACCGAGGCTGAATCTGCATTTGCTGGGAACCCTGTAGTGGTGAAGAGAGAGGTGGTCAAAGTCCGTGAGCAATTGGGGTGGTTTTGGAGGGGTAATTGGATTTTGTTTATTGTTGGATCCCAAAGAGTTTCATGACCACAGCCAAATACAGCAAATAAAAAAGAAAAAATATATTAAATTAAAAATTGAAAGACATAATTAAATTGGTCCCATACGAAGGGGGGGTTGGTTACAGAAGGGTTTGGGTCATTACATTTCCAACACCTGGAAAGAGTGTCTTTGTGCATGGTGGGAGGCAAAAATTAACACATTTTCATCAAAATAAATCTTCATAAGCAGAGAAGCTAGATTAGCAAAGATTTTGTCCTTAGCATTCATTGGTAATGATGATAATTTTCAAGAAGACGAACTTCACTGCAAACCTCTGTCTGATTAGTTTTTAGTTTATAGCACCCCAATAATGCCTTTGTTACTAGGTTTAGGGAAGACAGCAGACAAACAGCAAAAGGACATCACAAGACTGTCGAGGGGACATCAGAGAAAAAAGCAGGCTATTTAAAACATTTCATCTTTGTGCTTTCCACTGTCCTGTAGGAAAAAAAATGCATATTTTTATTCTCTTATTCTTCTACTACTCATTTTGACTTCATAAACACTTAGAAATTAATTTATAACATACACACATACATAAAGTACAGCACTTAGTATTTAAATGTAGGCTTGTACATTTTAGGGAATGATTATAGAACAAATACTTATGTAACCACCACACTGGTTAAGGAATTGATATTTGTGATTGAAATACTGAAGTCAGGGGTTAAAAAGAAAAATTAACTGTTTCATACCATTTGAGTCCCGCCATGAATCATGGATTACATAAGAGCTGAGGAAAGCCTTCGAGGTTACACAGAAACATGACAGTGTCATGAGAGAAGAATCAAATGCCAAAAGTGGTAAAGTGACTTTTCACGGTGTCATTCTAGTAGGGGCTGAATCAAGACTGCATCCCAGGCTGCCTAACTACCTTTCCGTTGTTTATTCCATTTTATCAAGGGCCTCTGGTGAGAAAAATCTATAATATATTTCCATAACACAAAAACTTTGTTTGTGTAATTACAAGTAACTCTCTGTGCTTAAGTTTTGGCACCACATACTGAAGAAAACGAAGTGATTTGGTGTCATAATTGAACTCATTATATCAGTGTAGTCTTATACACTGGAAAAATAATTACATATATAGAAAAATATTTTGTTCTGCTTATAAAATAGTTATGCATAAAAACAGTCTGACAATTCTAAGTGTTCAAGCCAGAGATATACTTAGGAAAATTTGCTATTACTAATATTTGATGAATAATATTGTGTCCTCTCATTTACAGGCTATTATTCAAATTATAAAACATTTCCAAATATCTAATTTCAAGTCAGCATTTTTCTCCTGTGATTCTCTAGCTAAAAGAAAATTATAAAGTTATAAGACCTATAAAATAAGCCATATATAACAATGGTATATACATTTTGCTGGTCTTTTTATCTTAAAAAGTAAACTTGTTAGCATATGTTGTACATTGACTAGGAAAGTGATCAGTGTAAATTGAACATTTACAAGAAAATTATTGACAAAAGAATTGTTGACCTAGAAAATAACCAGGAAGTTGATTTTCTATTAATTTTTGCAGTCTCCTTGAAAAAAAGAAACACCCTTGTTTAAGCCTCTAAAGTTTTCCTTCATATTGATAAAGATGATCACTATTTTATCAGAGATTCCTTAGATAAAAAATTCTATTATAAAATGATCTTCATTATTTTACAAAGGAAGAAATTGAGACTCAGAAAGGTTGTCCCTCACCCAAGGTCATATATTAATAGCTGGGTTAGAATTTGGACCTGTGTTAATCTGGTTCAAGGCACATATATTTCCTACTATTTTCTCTACATCCACTTACTAAATTTAAGTCAATATTTATTTGTTCCAAATATCCACCATACATGTGTATCCAAATTAAAAATTATCATGTTTTCTTTTTTCAAAGTCAGAGACACTTTGAATACAAAGATGAGACAATGAAACCCTTGTCTTAGAAGAACTCAAGACTCCTCTCCAATAACCTAATGGGGCTACATGAGAGGTTCCTTAGTACTTTATATATTTTTTATTATTCCAAATGATTGTTAATTTATTACTTAGAAAGTTGCCGATACTCTCTTCTACAAAACTATTTTGTTTTTAGGTATGGTTAATAAACTGACAAATACATGATTAGAGGCCACACTTCTTTTTTTGTCCCCGCCTCTGAAAGGTGTATTCCCAAGTAACTCTTTCCATGAAGCTTCCTATAGACCAATCTTGGCCCTAAATCGCGAATAGAAAGTCACAAACACAAAGACCACAGATCTACCAAGAGTGTAGTTGGGAATTTATTTTTTGTTAGGGCAAATGAGCAAAGTGAAACAGAGGGAAAGTCTTCTAGTGCAACCCTTCAAGAGGATTTTTAAGTAGGGGTGAAATTATCCTGTTAGCTATACAGCGCAGCAAAATTTTGTCTCACCTACAAGAACCTGGTGAGCCCCTGTCAGTCATGCCTTAGATTTTTGTGGATTGGTTCATTTATTGGTTTGTTTTAATTAACTGGGATTGGTCTGAATACTAGCCTTGAAAAATAATTGACCCACTAGCTGCTAAAGCAACAAAAATGTGTAATTCTGCAAGTGCAGTGATTTGGTCCTATCATCATCTGACTCGGCTATGAATTGTAGTTTCATCCTTATTACCCAGGTGAACATCATGCAAGCCAATGTCACTCTCTGAATTTCAGTTACAAGAGCTTTATAAACAGGATGATGCTATCAACCTCACTGGTGGTAGCCTGGCTAACTGAAAGACTAAAAAGAAGCATTTGTCCAGTATCTGACACAGCATTTCCACATGATAAATATCTACTGTGATTAATGTTATTATACACCTCTGAAGTAGCTTCAAATATACCATTGTGGGAAGACTGATAATTGTACAACCGTAAGAGTATAACGTGGTTGTTCCTAAGATAATCCTTGGCCTTTCTCTGAGCCAGTGCATCTTGCTTATTTTTCTGTGGAAACATAGAAAATCTGTATTTGAGGATTAACTGCTAGACTCAATGGACATGACAAGTGTGGGGTTACATATTATCCCATAGCAACTGGCACATAATAAAGACTTAACAAATATTTGTTGCATGAATGAACAAATCTATACAATTTTATCCCATTCATACATAGATGTAGAAGAGCTTCCTTCACCTTTCTCTATGAAAAACTAAAGGTCTTCCTTCTGCCTGTTTATAGAAGCCTATTCTTCATTGCATGGCTTAGAAACATGTCTTGTTATCTTACATAATCTCAGCAAATTCTCTTCTACATGTATTCATAAAATGTTACAGTGGGGTAGTATGCTGGAATGGGAAGAGAAGGGATAAAGAGAGAAAGGACCAGATCCCAAGTTATGTTGCGGTTTTCTCAGGAAAAAATATGATAGATTGGTGCTACTTTCAAGATTCTGAATGGCAAGAATTGTGGGAGATAATGAGGAAGGTACCTTAGTTGTTTGGGCTGTGAATAGGACATTTTTATTTTACAAGATGGATTTTTACATAAAGTAGATTAATAACATTTAAGCTTATGGGTCTGTTTGTCTCTTAAGAATTATTAATTTTAATATATTGAGAGGTTTGGAGTGGCGTAATAGAAAAAATGAATGAGAAGAAAATGTTCAGAGTATTCTAAAAGATTTTACCAGTAGCCACTGCTGTAGCAAAAAAACTATTAAGATTCTATTGAGATTGTATCAACATGATGAATTTTCACATGTATACTCCTTTCTGTCTTTCCTCTCCCTCCTTCCTTCCCTCCTTCCTTCCTTTCTTCCTTCCTTCCTTCCTTCCTCTCTCTCTTCCTTCCTTCCTCTCTCTCTTCCTTCCTTCCTCCCTCTCCTTCCTCTCTCTCTTCCTTCCTTCCTTCCTCTCTCTTCCTTTCTTCCTTCCTCCCTTCCTTCCTCTCTCTCTTCCTTCCTTCCTTCCTCTCTCCCTTCCTTCCTTCCTCCCTCTTTCTTCCTTCCTTCCTTCCTCCCTCCCTCCCTCTCTCTCTCTCTTTCTTCCTTCCTTCCTTTCTGCCTTCCTGCCTTCCTCTCTCTCTTCCTTCCTTCCTTCCTTCCTCCCCTTTTTTCTTTCAATTCTCTCACTTTGCTGTTAAAGAAGAGCCACTGAGAGTCACTTGATTCAAAACAGAGCCCCTGGACACTTCCATTCTAGCTGGTGGTCAATGTTCTGGAGAAATACACATTTGGTTTGCATGCCTCTTATTTATTCTAAATTATGAATGCCTCAGAGGTTGCTTGCTTCACTTTGTAGAAATTTTTCACTGAAAAGTTCATTTCTATTTAAAATGTATGAAATACTTAATTGGCATTGGGGAAGGATGGCAGGCCCAGGGTGGTGCAAGAGGCAGTTTCCTTCAATCTTTCAATACTTCCTCTATGATAAAAGACAACTAGTGGAGCCTGCCATGAGGGTAGTTTATTAACTTGTTTCTCCTCCTCCACAGAACTCTGGCAGTTCATCAGTGTCGCAGGCATATGGGAAGGACTCCTGTTTTAAAGGCCTAAGAGGACCCATGTCCTGTTTTTCAATATTAACACCAAATACTGTTTCAAGCTGAGCAGAACTGCCTAAGAATTAAAAATAGAGACTTGTTTGATCTGAGAAAAAGACAGAAAAATGACTCCTATAGAGTTTGAAATGGAGAAAGTCTCCAGAGACAGTTAATTGCTCCTCCCTTCTAAATACTGCTCAAAAACAGATAGAAACAAATCTCTGTCTGGTGATATTGCAATATGCAAATTGATAGACCAAGAATAAACATATTAGCTAATAGCTTCAAAAACCAGCCAAGAGCTCGAGTTGCATAAGAAAACTAGTGCTTTTCTTGGGAAAGCAAAAATAGAGGTTGTTTTGAACTCTGCAATAGAATCATTGCACTTACAGGGTCTCTCATGAATAATTGATACAATATTTGTCAGGAAACAACAAGTTCTGAAAACAAAGGAGTTAGGTTTCTAGTCAAGAAGTTAGAAAAACAGGAAAAGAGCAAACCCTTAAATGCAGGAAAAAGGAAATAATAAAGACAAAGATAGAAATCAGTGGAACAGATGAACAACAATACAATAGAAATTAGACAAATCAAAATCTTTCTCTTAAAAGTTTAATAAAAGAAATGGACAACTAGCATGGTAATTAAGACAAATCAAAAATGCAAATACTCAAAGAAAGACAAAGGGCATAGTTATAGGCACAACATAAATTTAACATAAAATGTATTGTAAAACAAATCAGAAACTTTTGTCTCAGTCCATTTGTGTTGCTATAAAGGAATACCTGAGGCTAAGTAGTTTATAAAGAAAATAGGTTTATTTGGCTCACTGTTCTTCTGCAGGCTGTGCAAAAAGGAGGGCTCTGGCATCTGCATCTGGTGAGGGCCTCAGGCTGCTTCCACTCGAGGCAGAAGGGGAAGGGGAGCCTGTGTGTGCAGAGATCACATGGCAAGAGAGGAAGCAGGAGAAAAGGAGGGAGGAGCCAGCCTCTTTTTAACAAGCAACTCTTGCAGAACTCACATGTTACAGAGAGGATGGCGCCATTCATGAGGAATCCACCTCAATGAGCCAAATACCTCCCATTAGTCCTCACCTCCAATATCGGCTGTCAAATTTCAACATGAGGTTCTGAGGAAAAACATCGAAACTATGGCAACTGGAAAGAGTAAAAAATACCAAAGTTGATGGAAAAAATGATCAGCAGGAAAATTCAACTAGGACAATAAGCATGAAAGAACTCAAAGACCACCCCTTTTAAAAAGCCCCCAGTCCACATGATTTTCTTCATATTTTATACTAAAATTTTCCTAAAAATTAAAGACTTTAAAAATAATTTTAGACTTTCAGAAGAGTTGCAAAGAGTACAGAGTTTCTATATTCCTTTTACTCAGCTTCCCCAAATTTTGAACTTTACGTTACCATGATAAAATGACCAAAACTAAGAAATTAACATTTGGATGTCCCGGTTTTTCAGCAAGTTTATTTTCTGTTCAGAATCCAATCCAGATACCATATTGCATTTAATTGTCATGCCTCCTTAGCCTCCTCCAAGCTATGATTATTCTTAGTCTTCGCTTTTAGGACCTTGACATTTTTGAAGAGTACTGGTCAACAATTTTGTAACATTTTCCTTCTTTTAGGTTTGCCTGATGGGCATTTCTCGTGATTAGACTGGTATCATAAATCTTGAGGAAAAATACCATTCAGTGATATGCCCTCTCATTGCATCATATAAGGTATATTACACATAGCATTCTGTATGATCACTGGTGATGTGAACCTGGCCACTTGGTTAAGATAGCGTCTGCAAGTGTCTGAGGAATTTACTCTGGTTCTCTTTCTGTACTCAATTTTTAATAAGTGGGACACTAAATCCAATCCTTTCTGAAGGTGAGGGGAATTAACATTCATCTCCTGGAGAAAGGCATATTGAGGAATCTATGGCCTTAGGCTAAGAACACCACAGCAAGTAATATTTTGTTGGAGATATGTTGGGGCTGTGCAGATGTCTTGTTGGTGTCAAAGTTTTGCCTAGCAACTTTAGCATTTATCAGTGGATTTCCTGCAGCAATTGTTGCTGTGGCGCCCTAATAGTGATTTGTCCCTTCTGAATGGTGAGTTGTCCCTTCTCCCACATTTACTTCAAGAGAATGTCCATTCTTTACTTCAATCATGTAGTTATACTAGTATTTTTGCATGTACATTTATTTTATTCTTTGGATTATAGTCTCAAGACTATCAATATTTTTTTTTGGTGAAATTATTCCTGCTTTCCCCCACTCAACTTTTTATACGAGAATTTTCAATTCTATAGAAAAGTTGAAAGAATAATAAAGTAAATACATGCTATACCCTTCGCAGTTGTTAATGATTTGCAATTCTGTTTCTCTCTCTCCATAAATGTATATATACAGAAAAGAAGCACACTTATTTTCCAACACCTTTAAAAGCCATAGACATCATGACACTTCCCTTCTAAGTTTCAACGTGTATCTCCTAAGAAAAAACTTTTCTCACCACCCACAATACTATTATGTCACCCTCAAGACATTCCACAATTATATAAATTATCTATATTAAGTCAATTTTCAGTATGATTAACTGTTCTTAAAATTTCTTATAAAGCTTGTTTTTTTTTTGGAAAAAATATATAGTATCCAACCAAAGATTATACACAGTATTTTGTTGTCATAATTCTTAGTTTTCTATAATACAGAACAATTCCCAAGTTTTTAAAATTTATTTTATTCACTATTTTTAAATATACACTGTCATTATTTTTAAGAATCTGGGCACCACTTAATCTTTTAAAGTATCTGGCCCAATTTGGATTTGTTTGATTGATTCTTCATAATTAGATTCAGGTTAAGTATTTTTTGGAAACAAAATTGCATAACATTTCAAAGTACAAGATGTGATTTTGTCACATTAGCAAAGGCAAAGTTTGCTTACTTAAGGGCATGTCTTAGTTTGGGTTCCCTAGAATTAAAACCTCAGCAGGGATCAGGGTATAGGATTTATTGCGGTGTGATGTGGGAGGAACCTGTAAGGGGGTGAGTGAAGTAGGAGAGGAAGAGAGCAAGAAGCAAGCAAGGGTGTGGTCTCAACTAAACTTCTGCCTTGGCCTGATCCCTGGTGGGCAGGCAAAGAGGGGAGGGTGTAGCTCCAGAGGATAAAGAAGGTTACAGAGCTCCTCCTGTTGGTTCCGTGGGGCTGGCCATTTGTGTCCTCATGGTAGCCAGTTGTTGGATGTATGCTGCCATGGATGGGGTGGGCTGGGGCAGAGGAAACCTAAAGGGCAAGGTGGCTCCCTTCAGCAGAAGGGATTCTCTGAAGAAATGGGGAACTGAGCTTTGTTAGTGATCAAAACACAGCATCTGGGCAATACACCCCATGGTGATCTGGTGGAGTATCCCTAGCAGCTACTACAGGTGACGACAAACATCTTCCCCTTGTAAAGATGCCCTTTCCCATTTGAAAATAATAACTAATCTTTATGTTAAAATTTGAGACTGTGTGAATATCCTATTCCCCAGCAACGCTTTACCCAAAGGAGGTAGTATCCATTGATCATTGTTTCCAAAACCAATTATGATGAGATAGTTGCAAAATAATGATTTTTCTCCTAATTTGAGCTTTTCTTCTATATGTATTGGCTTGTGTTCTTTTGTAAAGAAAAGCTCTTTCTCTCTTACCACTTCTCATTTTTGGTACTGCTATACACCATGCAAATATCTGTAATTTAGTGTGTTATCATCTGTTATGTTTCTCATCTTGCTCAGCTGTCACAAATTTGGCCAGTGGGAATCACTTCAAGCTGGTTCCTGTGCCATTTCTGACATGTCCCCATTAATCTGAGCACTCTCTTCAGTCTCACCTGGTACTTTTCCTGGAATTAGCCATCCTTCAAAAAGACCTGGTCCCTTAAGCACAGGATGGTATTTTGAAAGCAAGAACTGAGTGTCCAGTGTGCTTACTGGTGCTGGAGTATTATTGGTTACATTTCAATGGTCAAAACTAGAAAATAGGGTTTTTTAAAAATCTTGAGTTCATTCTGATATTTCTAATTCAAATTCAACATCGCTAGGCTCTCTTCACCTTTCTCATATTACGTTTTACTATTTTAATCTCCCTTTTACAGTAAGAAATATGTGTTGAATTTAACTTTATCAAAACAGTTTTATAATTATTATATCAGTATCACTACCAACAATATATCTAATGAAGTAAAATTCCAATTTTCTTTGAAGCTCTTTTTGTCCTCATAACGTATCTCACTAGCTGCATGCAAAATAACGGGTTCAAATGTTATCTGAGTCAATTATTTTTCCTTGTATTTATCTTATCAATCTGATAGGTTCATTTATTTTCTGTTGATATTCCATTTTAAGATTTGCTTTTTATGTTCTTTTTATTTAATATTTTTAACATGAAAAATAAACCTCTATGGTTCAAAAGCTAAAAATATATTACAAAGTATCCTTAGAAAGTTTGTTTCCCTCTTCAGTCCTTCCACACCATTACCATCCATCACCTAGAGGCAAACATTTTTATTAAATTTTCATCTATCCTTTCTGCATTTCTTTTAAAAAAATGGAAAAAATAATTATTTTTGTTCCACAAAAAAGTAGCTTACTATATACACAATTTTGATCTTGATAGTATGTTGTAAAAAATCAATCTATTTCCTTCGTAGAGCAACATAAATGCGCAATAGTGAACTTCATAGAGGTCTTCCTCATTCATTTCATGTCCACATAATATTTCATTGGCTTATTCAAGCAGTTCACTATTAGTGAGCATTTAGGCTGGTTCTGATGTTTTACTGTGACAATGAATAACCCTTGTGAATATGATGTTTCATGTTTTCAGAAATGTACTAGCAGGTATGTCTGTCAAATGGGGATTTCTGAATCAAAGGAGAAATCTGAATACTGTTTTGCCAAATTTCTTCTTCATATGGGTTGCACCATTTAGCACTGCCATCAGTAATAAATGTAAATATCTGTTTCACTTGTCCTCACCAATGGAGTGTCAAGGGTTTGAATTTTGGCTTGTCTGGAAAGTGAGAAATAGTAGTTATAGTTTGTATTTCTCTTATTATAAATGTGTGTATATTTTTTGTAGGCTGTGTGTTTGTCTTTTTCACCTACTTTTTCTCCTTATATTTTAGGTCCCATAGATTCTTATATGTAGTTTTCATTAGATCTAAAAATTCTGAAATTTTGGCTTGTTTAACCCTTTTCTTCTAAGATTTACTTATTAGAAACCTGTTTGTATTTAAATTTCTAAGTTGAAGACTTTTTATTTTTCTTTTTTCTTTTTTTAATTTTTGCTTTCTTTGAATAGATAATTTTTTTAAATTATACTTTATGAAATTTGAGATTTTCCTTTCTGACATAGTATCTAGTCAATTATGAATATTTGATATGCAATTAAAAAGAAGAAATATTATATATTATTGGGACATAAATTTTGATACATCCATAAGATATAATTGCTGATTGGGCTATGTTTTTTATATACTCCCTTATTTGTTTCCACTGGATTAATCTAAACCAGAAAGCTGTGTGTTATATATGCTATTTTAAATGGATTTCTCTTTGATCTTCCTTAGTTTCTGCCATAGGAATGTATTATTTGAGGCATAGATTTTATAATTTTTGTATCTTCCTTGTAAATTAATGAATTTAATTACATGAAGGTAAGAATTGCAGTTCACAAATCATGCCATGTACAAAGACAACAGAAAAATGAGAGATTTAGGAAGAGTCTTTTCAATATTTAGAATCAACAAAGAACAAATATCTAGATTATATAAAGGATTCCTATAAACCAACAAGAAAAAGAAAGAAAGGCTTAATGAGAAAATAGGAAAAATATAGGAACAGGGAGAAGAAGAAACAACAAAACCAAGAAAGTGCATAAAGATATACACAAATTCTTCTGCCATTAGACATATGCATGTTAAAACAGTGAGATTACTTTAAACCTGTTAGGACGTCAACAATCAGAAAGCAGGATAATGCTAGTGGTAGAAGGGATGTGAGGGTAACAACACCGTATTCAGTGCCAATGTCCTTTTGCATAGCATTCAGTAGTAGTCAAATCAAATTTAAATATACTGTATACCAAAGTGTATATGCCAAATTGTGAAGCAGGTTCATAAAGGGATGAGTGTGCAGGTTCATTGTAGTGCTGTCTGTGGTGGTGTTGACTATGAGAAGGAAGAAATATAATTAGACTGTGTTTTAATACACATTAAACAAACGCCTAGTCAATTTCCAGCCTACACGATGTCGGCCCCCGTGATCCAGTACACATTCGTTTTTCTAGCTGTGATCATCTTCTCTACTCACATGAACTTTTTACATCTCTCTCTTTTTTAGCTTTTTTCCCCCCCAGGAAAATATATTTATTCAAATTCTCTTTTCAGTTCTCTCCAGTGTCTTCCCGCATTACGTTTTTGGTTTTGTTACAGCACTTGACACTATGATGTACTATTGGCTAGGTACTTAGCCTGGTATTTATACATGAGACCTTGCATTTCATCAAACATATTTTAAATATATCAGAGTTAAGGACATTTTCAACAATCATTCCTTCTAATAGGACTTAAATGGCAAAGTGTTTGTGTAATATTAAGATTTTTAAAAATATTTGAACATCAACCAAATGTAAGCTGGTGTAGCTGTCCTAACAGTAGATGAATTAGATATTAAGACAAGAAGCTTTCCTGGAGAGAAAGTAGAATTCCTATTGATAAAAACAACAATTTATCAGGAGGACATAACAAGTCTAAATCTGTATGCATCCAATAATATTTCAAAATATATAGGGCAAATATTGACAGAATAAAAAAATAGAGAAAAATCACAATGGTAGTGGGAGACTTTCAAACAATTTCACCAATAGCTAATGCAGAAGATCTCAACAACATGATTAACAAACTGATCCAAGTAAAATACATTTTTAAAAAATCAAGTTTTCAAGATTATATGGCTTTCACCCAGAATGATTACATTCTGGCAGTGTGATATTGCCAGCTTTGGTGCATTTCAAAGGACAAAAACCATTCAGGATATATTTTCTGATCATGGTGGAGGCACACTAGAAATCAGTAACCAAAAGTATTTACAAAATGCCCAGCAGTTTGGAAAAAAAGCAATAAATTTTAAATAACCTGTGCGTCAAAGGATAAATTTCCACAAAATGAAAACATTTCAAACCAAACATAACATGAACAATTTTAATATTAATAGTTTGACAAATTTAGAAGAAAATGGAAAATTCCTAGATAAGAAGTAAACTTCCAAAAGTAACAAAAAAGAGAGAATGTGGATCAATTAAAGGATTAAAAATTTGATTAAAGACCTTCCCACAAAGCAGAATCCAAGCTCAGACTGCTTCAACAGCTAATTCTCAAAACATTCAAAAGTGTTCCTTCTCAAAACATTTTATGAGGCCAGCATAACCTCGATATGAAAACCAAAAAGGGCATTATAATAAAGAAAAATCACAGGCTAATCTCTCTCATGATCCTATGTACAAAAATCTTAAACAAGATGATAGAAAATCAAATGCAAAGATACATAACAATTACAATACATCATGACCAATTTAGGCTTCCTTTTTCTTTCCAGGAAGTCAAGTTTGGCTTAATATTTGAATATTATTATAATTTATCACATCAACAGAAAAAAGAAAATTCATATGATCATTAAAATAGATCGAGAATAAATGATTAAGTTTAACACCCATTCATGGTAATAACTTTGGGAAACTAGAGATAGAAAAAACCCTTTCTCATCTGAAGGATGTATCAACAATAAACCCGCATGGAGAATAACGCTTAATAGTGAAATAGCAAAATGTTTCCCTAGAGTTCAGGAATATGACAAGGATATTCACCATTACTACTATTCATATTTTACTAGAGGTCGTAGTGAGTATAATAAGGAAAAATGAAAGAAAGGAAAGGAAGTAAAAATGACATGATTGTATACTTTGAATCTACAAATGTACTGGCAAAATTGATAAGTGAATTTAGCAAGATCAGATAATAAAAGGTGAATGTAGAAAAAACAGTAACATTTCTATATACCAGCATAAATAATAGAAAGTGAAACTTTAGAAATATAACTTACAATAATATGGAAAATGTCAAATATTTAAGCTAAAAAGAATAAATAAGTGCAGAACTTTCACAGGAATCATTTCAAAACATTATTGAAAAAATTTCTACATCATATTATATTTCTACATTGATGTAGAAAGGCTTTCAATGCAATGCAAGGCTTTCAATATTTGTGAAAAAGACATTTAACCCAATAGCACAATAAGTATAAGTTAAAATGCTCATTCTAAATGTACAAATAAATGAAAAGGATTAAGAATAACCAAGACAATCTTGAATAAAAAATATAAAGCTAGAAGACTGACAAATATGAAGTCATGTTAAATTGTTGCAATAATGAAAACTGTTGCATTGGTTGAGGGACATACAAATAGGCAATGAAACAGAATAGAAGTCCCTGGCCAGGCATGGTGCCTCACGCCTGTAATCCACACTTTGGGAGGCCGAGGTGGGTGGATCACCTGAGGTCAGGAGTTCGAGACCAGCCTGGCCAACATGGTGAAAGCCTGTCTCTACTAAAACTACAAAAATTAGCCAAGAATGGTGGCACGTACCTATAGTCCCAGCTACTTGGGAGGCTGAGGCAGAAGAATCACTTGAACTCGGGAGGCGGAGGTTGCAGTGAGCTGAGATCACACTACTGTACTCCAGCCTGGGTGACAGAGCAAAACTCCATCTCAAAAAATAAAAATTAAAAAAAAAAAAAGTCCCTGACACAGACCCATGCATGCCAAGTCACGAGGTTTATGATAAAAGTGAAACTGTAGTATGTATTAGGGAAGGAATCATCTTTACAAAATTAATGCTGAGTCAATTAGTCATCGCATAGGAAAAAAGATGAATTTTGACTCTTATACCAAGTACAAAAACTATTTCCAAATACTAGATCTAAATATAATAGATTTTTAAAAAGGTAAAATTGTATCTCCATGATGCCTGGTTAGCAAGAATTTGGCAAACAGGACACAAAAGAATTTAATCCTGAACTGAATAAATGAGACATTGGACAACTTTAAAATTAATTTTTTTCAAAGACACTATTAAAAGAATGAAAATTCAAGCTGTAAAGAGGGAAAATATATTTGAAATGCTTATACTCAATAAAGGATTCATATTCTGAATAGAACAAAAATTCCTACAAGTCAACAGGAAAAAGACATTCAACCCAATAGCACAATAGGCAAAACACCTGAAGAGGCAATTTTACTTGCTGATAAATGTATTTTTAAAATCTCAATTTTATTAGCTTTACAGGAAATAGAAATTCAAAACTCAATGTGATTCTAACACAAAACGTCAGAATGGCTAAAATGCGAAATTCGTTAATACCAATGCTGGTGAGGATATGGAGCAATGGGAACTCTCATGAATTGAAAAGAGAAGTATAAATTGGCATATGCACTTTGGAAAAAAGTTGGCAATATCTACTAAAAGTGAATATAAATGCCATACAATTCAGCAATTCTACTCCTACATATATATCCTGTGTATCTTCACCAAAAAGACATTTATATAATATCTCACAGCAGCAATATTCTGATTAGCTCAAAATGAAAACAACTCAAAATTAGAACAGATTAAAAAATTACCGTATACTAATGCAATGGAGCACTACAGAGCATTCCAAAAGAAGACTTACTGTTATATGCAACAACATGTTGCATCCCCCAAGTGTCCTACTGAGCAAAAGAGACCAGAGAAAAGTATACATAATGAATTATTCCATTTAAGTAAAGTTCGTAAAATAGGCAAAAGTAATTTATGGTGTTACAACTCAGGATAGTGGTTACTGTTGGGGAAAATATTGAGTGAGGAGGCTTAAGGAGAATTTCTGAGTATGTTCTATTCTTTGCCTGGCTGCTGGCTGCAAGATGTGTTTACTTTGTGATATTTCACTCATCTGTAGAGTTATGATTTATGTACATTTCCATGTTTGTTATACTTCAGTTGTACATAAAGCATGGGTAAGAAGGTATTTTAAATGGTTCCCCAAGAGGTGATTAAAAACACAGAACCAGACAGTAGAACTGGATGTGTATGTGTTTGTGCATGCACACTATTGCCCCACCAGTTTCTTCCAAACTACAAAACTCCTGCTTTTTAATTGTCCTACAATAAACGTCTCCAAACTCTGCAACACACACAAAAAAACAAAAACAAAAAAACACCTCATTAATATGAAATGCAGTCCTGATTGTGGAATGTGATGACATTTTGTGTGTGATGTGTGTGTATGGTATGTATGTGTGTTCTGTGTGTGTGTGTGTGTTGGGTGTGAACTTCTCGAATCAAGGAAGTAGATAGAAGGTTATTAGAGTATCATTTTGTTACTATTGAGCATGACAGTAATGACTAGTTATAATGCATAAGTAACTTAGAGTGTGAATTTAATAATCTAATATTTGCCACCTTAATTATGGTATGTAATTCAAAATTATCCAATTATTAAGCAATAAAACTGGGTCTTGAAGTGATGAAGACAAGTAGGAATGGTTGAAGTTGTCCAAAACATTTTATGTTATCTTTAGTTATGATTCTCTGCTCTTCATTTTTATAAAGCCATTAATATTTTTGTTGCAGTCTATGTATCAATTTAGTCTTAGGTTAGTGAGGAAAGACTTAAAAGAGAGTAGATTTAATTCTTCTAGTGTTTATTCTGCTATTGTATTAACTCACATAATTTTAGAGAGTGTTTAGTTTTCAAAATTTGAGTTATAAGTTTATGGTAAGTGGTGACTATAACTTTAGGGGTATATTTTCAAAATAGTTTGTATACCAATTGAAGTAGCATTTGATTATTGAAATTTAAAGAACGATTATTATTTATGTTGGAAAAGCATCAAGAAAAAAATTAGAATACAAGGTAATACCTCATTCCAGAGATCACACTTGTAAACCAAAGTTCCCTGGGAAAAGAATTCAAAGAATCACAACCTACGTTGCTTATGCAAAACAATGCGTTAATTTTCGACCAGTGATTTATCTTGATGTAAGTTACATCAGATTTCATAATACAAATAGCTCTTTCAAATGCTGTATCATTAATAAGGAATTTTACTAACGAAATTATCTACTTCAGAAGACTAAAAAAAGAAGTGGAAAATGGAAGATTTTGACTGTAAATGTTCAGAGATTCGTGAGAATACTTGGCGCCCATTTGTCCCATTGTACTTAGTTGTTTCTTTTCGATAGCAAATCTCTTGCCCCATTGCTACATTTTCACATCACAAATCTCTTACATTTGTCTGGAAGCTGTCAACCTCCTATCCAAAAGAACATTATCATGTTTTCTTTTTACCACCTAATTATTATTCTGTTAGACAATGTATTTACTCCAAAGTGGTTTGGCATAATTGATTAGGTTGTTCTATGTCAGGACAAGCACAGATGCGGGGCCAGTGGAGTCTGTTAAACTTGGAGACAGGGCTGAGACAAAGGCCTCGCTCCAGTCTCCAGGAGGCAAGAGGCTGCCAGTGCTTCTGTGCTGGCAAGACAAAACCTTCTTGTGGTGGGTGGTCCATGGGGAGGTAATTGGAGATCTGCAGTATGTCCACTACAATCAACAAAAGGGTACAATAGCTGTTCTGTAGGGAATCTGGGGAAAAGAATTTGTTTAAATAAAATTGCAAGCTTGTCAGAGTGGGAAAGCCATTCTCAAATGATCTGTGCATCGTCTAAGGGAATGCAGATTGGGAATCATTTAGTCTCAGGCGAAAGCACTGATGATACAAAGAAAAGTTTAACTTAAACAGTGTAATAGAGAATGAAACCCATGCATTATTACTGTCGGTATGTTAGTGGCATACAACAAACTCTTCTAGGGGATACTTCCAAGTGGAAATGTTTACAAATGGGAAGTTTGATTCTTAGGCTGTGCCCCCAACACAAAAATGAGATGGTCAAACTGTTCTTAGCTATTTATTTATTTTATATTGCAATGCTGAATCTGAGTATTAAGTATAGGAAGCACCCGTTATAAGGAGTGGTTACGGAATAAAATTGCCAGTGGTATTTAGTAAAGTTTTATTAATAAACTAAGTAGAGTGTGGCTCTGTCGATTATTCCTGAGTGTGATTTACCAACAACATGGTACTATAGACATGGAAATTATTAGAGGCCCCTGGGCTCAATCCCCTAAAGAAATTAAGTCATGGCTAAACCAAATTAAGTCTTGAGAACATAAGAATGTAAATCATGGCCCAGGGCAAAGCCCTCCAAGTCATTAGGTTAATGGTGCTCACTGTCACCCAGTGATTCTTCACTTGCATGTTATGAAGAACAGGAAAGGCCACCGAAAGCATGATGGATAAGAACAGAAGTTTGTGGAAAGGAAACGATTTTTTCTAAGACAGCAGAGTCAATGCCTTAACCTAAAACCCTTTCCTTTTATATTCTTTTCTTTCCTTTCCATTTTGTTCTAGTGTTTGCAGAGTGTTTATAGTTTCGTGGGAGAGCAGGACCATTTCCCATTGTGTGTGTTATTTAAGCCTGCAATGAAAAAAAGGAACTAAAAGTAAAGAAAAAATTGGAACAAGCAAAGGAAACTTTTTCATATTCCCTCTCTATCTCTAATTTCTGTGGATACACCAAGTCTTGTTTTGAAAAACATACCTAAAGAAAAACATTCTCTATTTTGCTTTGAAGTTAGGTGGTCTTCCTATAGGTAGTGTAAATAGGATGCTGTAAACTCATGCCAGCCTAGTGGGTCCTAGGAGTCTTTGTTCTGGATGCAATTACATGATCAGGTTGCTTTCCCCAAGCCAACATGTTGATCCCCATAAGAAATAATGTAACTAGGAAAAACAAATAGCTGTGCAAACACCTAAATGTAAAGGAGCTTAGGAAAAGTTCATAGAGTAGAAAAGTTGCTATCTTTCTTTCTTTTTTTTAATTATACTTTAAGTTCTAGGGTACAGGTGCACAACGTGCAAGTTTGTTACATAGGTATACATGTGCCATGTTGGTTTGCTGCACCCAGCAACTCGTCATTTGCATTAGGTATTTCTCCTAATGCTATCCCTCCCCCAGTCCCCCACCCCCTGATAGGCCCCGGTGTGTGATGTTCCCTGCCCTGCATCCATGTGTTCTCATTGTTCAACTCCCACCTACGAATGAGAACACGCAGTGTTTGGTTTTCTGTCCTTGTGATAGTTTGCTTAGAATGATGGTTTCCAGCTTCATCCATGTCCCTGCCAAGGACATGAACTCGTACTTTTTTACGGCTGCATAGAATTCCATGGTGTTTATGTGCCACATTTTCTTAATCCAGTCTATCATTGATGGACATTTGGGTTGGTTCCAAGTCTTTGCTATTGTGAATAGTGCCGCAATAAACATGTGTGTGCATGTGTCTTTATAGTAGCATGATTTATAATCCTTTGGGTATATATCCAGTAATGGAATCACTGGGTCAAATGGTATTTCTAGTTCTAGATCCTTGAGGAATCACCACACTGTCTTCCAAAAGTTGTCGTCTTTCTAATATTGATTAGAAACTTGTTCAGAACAACTTTCTTTACCCACAGATCCCTTCTGTTAAAAGAACAAGTGATGCAGAAAGGTCTATGGCGTCCTTTACTTGTGATCTACATTAACACTTCTCTTCTAGGACCGAATGTCCCCTGAGCAGAACAGGACAGCTGCCTTAAATTGTGAACAAAAGCTGCTCATTAAGCTGGTGGGTTCTCGGTGAACTGTCAGTAAACATTTTAAGAAACCATTAACCTCACATTTGATTTCAATAGATAATTGACTTTTAGAATTGTTGCAGACACTTTTCTATTGATCACAAAGGGATGCATTTTGTTACAAGCGGAAAAGAGAAAAACCTCCCTCAGCCCAGACCCTCATATCTTGCTCTCTGGGATGAACATTTAATGGATGTTATGTATTGACTATTAATATTAGGAAATAGAGAATAAAATAAACAATTTAACAAAGCCAACAATGATGGCTTCTTCTGATTATAGGAAACCACTTAGATACCAAATGAATATGGAAAATTAAAGAAAATATGACGTGGTATTTACATTTAAAATATATTTTAATGTTTTAGTGATTCAAATTTCAAATCCCAAATGAAGTAATGAAAAAAATAATGTTAAATTTGTGACTGAATTCAAAAGTGGCATGTAGCTTCAGTTTGAGTAAGAACATGATAATGAGCTATTTGCAAAATCATGTTATTCTGAATCTCCAAACTTGTTCAGTATAAATTGATGTTACTTATAGATTTTAATTCATAGAATAAGGAAATGGCCTGAAAATTAACATCACAGTTTTTCTAGCCTCTATTCCATTTATATTCCTTTAGGAAAGTAAATCTAGATACAGTTTTCTGTTTGTAGTTTTGGAATGTTAACTTTTACTTTTACTCTATAACTTCATGTACAGTAATCTTCCTACACTGCACGTTATAGTTTGTATTTTAGGCAGCATTCTATGATGAATAAGAATGATTTGCTTTCCTTAGAGAATAACACTTCCCACAGAGGCCCATGTGCCACGGCAAGATAACATTTTCCAGGGGCAGACTTTCAAAGTGTAAAGCTCTAGGCAAAGTTGCCTTGGAGTCCCCTTGAGATCTTGGGGAGAGAGATAACTCACACGAGGGGAGATGCCCCTTCAGCCAGGCAAGATGCCAGCATGGACAAGAGAGAAGCACATCATCTCCCGTGGGTCTAAACACAGAGCTGCTGGAGTGGGAGGCTCCAGACAGCCATCAATGTCTCAGGTCCAAATCTGGCAAGGTCCCTGAGCTTTTGGTAAATATTATTGTACTCGCTGTCTTTGTGGCTTTGAGGCACACATTTCTGTAAAAGCCATGTAGCTTGAAAACAAGGACTTAAAAGCACACACTGTCTATGTTGCATCTTCCACTCTGTCTAAGAATGTCTGTGGAACAATAGAGAGTAGGAGGTCGAGCACCGGAGCGGCATTTGATGTGGCCTTCTGCTGCTAATTACTGGCATGGGGAGCCCTGCTCTCCCAGTTGTGACTCACCAGTGCCCCTTGATTAAATGCAGACGAGGATTTAGTTACCACAACATGCATCAGCTTTGTTGAACTTCCTCTTGGTCTCACTTCCTGCTTCGGAAATGAATTCTCTCAATCCATAGTCATTCTATCAGGCCCATCATAAACTCTTGAGAGAGAGAGAAGGGGTTGTGCTTTGTGATACCCTTGGGGAGCTCAGAGATGGAATTCAGGGCTGTTTATCCCAAGACCGTGGTCTTGTCAGCACTCAGATTTAACAAGCACGGTGGACCATGGACAATGAAGAAGAGCACAGAAATACATCAGGGTCTACTTTGATTAAAATTTCACCCCCACCTTGCAGTTTTGAAATGTCTTAGCTTTCATTTATATTTATATGTTGTCTGACTCTACCAGATTCATTGTCTACAACTAGATCCTGATGTTCTGTGTGGTTCACAGGGACGGAGACACATTTGCCTCGATCAAAACAGACAAGAGTCTCAGTATGTCTGGGTTGCATAATTGAATGAATTCTTTCTCATACTGTGCCTCTCTGATTTTCTTTAAAATGGTGAGACTTCATTTTCCTTAAAAAATGTCATGAGGAGTTAGCAGTTCAAGAATATCTGCTTTAGGGTTGCCTTCTGCCATCAAATCATAGAATTAAGAGTCAAAAGGCAACCTGCAAGTCTTCTGTTTAATTTCCTTCCAAATGATAAAATACCTTCTAGAGCAGGTGATACTCAGCAATGGCTCTCATGGTTGGAAAGCTGCTTATTTTATGGAATTTAAGTCTACTTCCTTGTAACTTCTACTCATTGGTTCTAGTTCTGTCTCCTGGTGAAAGGGCAAAAACAACAACGCACCAAAAACAACAACAAATAAGATCTCAGATAGTACTCTGTTTTTCTTCACCAAACTAGAGAAGACACTAGCAGGATGTTCCTGGAATGTCCTTCTGTTCGTTAGTGTGGGAGCAGATGAGAGATAACTTCTTTCCTCAGGACACACAACATGTCGTAGTAGTTGTAGTCCTGATGTTCCACCCCCATCAGTACTCCCTGTAGAGGGGAAGAGCATGCACAACTTACTAGCCACTGACTTCCAATAACAGAACTTCCCACAAACCATAACACTTTAAGAAATAGGAAGTTTTAGGTAGTATATTAAGATGTCTATCACTTTTTTACTCAGCCGGAATAATGCTATTTTTCTGTTGAGACAAATAGAATGTTGACGTGGTAACCTTTCAGTTTCTTCAGGCAGCCGTTGTCTACACCTTTTTGACTTTTAGTTTGGGAACCAGGTAACCTGAATTCAAACCCTGATTCTGTCATTCAGTTATGTAAACACAAGCAAGTAAATTCACCTCTCTGAAATTTAGTGTTTATCAGTAAAGTGGAAAAAACACTTAACTACAGTATTAAAAGAGAATTCCATAAGGTAACTAGCAGACAGTGCTCAGTATCACATTTGGCATTATTTCATATTCATTCAATTCAATCCTATGCTAATATAGCTGAAATGTCCTCATGCCGGACTGTTTGTAATGAGTAGAAGAATAATCCTACATAAAGCTCCCTACGTCTCTGTTCAATTTAATTCAATTTGACCAAGATGTATTGAGCAGCTACTACATGCAAGGCTCACCGACATAGTGATGCCAACATGAGCTACATTTTATTGAGTACTTACTCTGCTTCAGGAACTCGCTAAGAGTTTCATTACCTTATATACTTTGATTCTTACAACAACATGAGAGAGGGGTGTTGTTCAAGATGTTTCACAAGTAGCATAGTTCTGCCCGTAGTACATTGCCTGTATGGGAAGCTCAAAGGGCCTATTTTACAGAAGAGAAAATTAAGGATTTGAGATATTAAAGGAGCTCATCTTTGCTATAGCAAGTGGCCAAACTTTTAGGGCTGTTTCATGAGACTGTAATTCATGGGCTACC
The DNA here is from genome assembly GCF_000001405.40 of Homo sapiens. Taxonomy (NCBI): domain Eukaryota; kingdom Metazoa; phylum Chordata; class Mammalia; order Primates; family Hominidae; genus Homo; species Homo sapiens. The sequence continues at coordinate 9,118,200 of NC_000006.12, forward strand.
ATTGTGAATCAAGGTAAGTCCTTCCCATCGCTGTGGCTCTCAGTTCTAATTCTCTTGTTTGGGGTTCTGTTATATAGCAAGTGAATACAGTTTTCATAAGTCAGTGCATCCAGAAAGCTTTGTTTCAGATGTTCCAAGCCACTGGTTTCTCAGTCAGAAATATTTATTGCCTCTTTTCATTGCCATTAAAGGTTCAAGCTCAGAATGCTTTCTAACACCTGTTAATATTAATACAATTTCAGTAGTAGCATTAAGGAATGCCAGTTCTGGGTTGTGGGGGTCCCTAGGCCCACACCAGCAATGCTCTCGTCTTCCTGCAGAGGTTCTGCCAGTGCCTCAAGAATGTCCTCAGAGTTCTGTCCATTCTTCTTCTGCTCAGACGTTTTGTCTGAAAGTATTTTCCCAGGCCAGAGCTGGACTCTGTATAGAGTACAGAGGAAGGGCCAAGGTATGACTTTACTCCCACCACTTATATCTGAGAGCACAGGCACAGAGGGCAGTTTGTCACAAATCTGAGTGTGCCCGAGCTACATTCATGAATAATAAATAGGCTTCATATTGCCTCACATTCCCATTCCCATCCCAAGTATGAGGCTGGCTTTGTTGACTGCAAATGAAAACTGCTTATTTATAGGGAGGAAGATGGGAGTGGAAGGGCAGATTTTAGCGGGTTGGAAATCATATTAATAAATAAGCTGAGAAATATTTGACTTGGGTAAATGCTCAGGTAGAATTTGAACATTGAGAATCATGCATTCATCTGTGTGTAAGAAATAAGAGTCAAGGATAATCCTATAGCTTAATCCCCCAAAATATGATCCACAGAGCATCCTGTGTATTTCAGAATGCAACAGGAATGTGTGCGTATGCTCTTGGATTTCGACGAATGACTTCGAGCCCTGGGATCTGTTGCCTTGTGAACTTTTGCAGCCTGTCAAACCACAGTCTAGTAGTAAGAGAAACCGTCCTCTGCCTGGTCCAAAGATGCCAATGTGGATAGTTTGTCGTCCTTGAAATGTGGTGTGACCCTCACAGCTACCACGTTTCTGAAGGCATCAGAAAAATCAACCATACTTAAGAGTTAAAATACCGCACGTATCATACATTTTTAAAAGTCAGAGTAACAAGAGTATATGGAATAAGAAGATGAAGCAATCCACTAATCACCATTTTAATCTCACTGTCAAGTCAGCTTTATATATATTTTGCCTACATAGTTTCTTAGGAGTAGTGTCTCCTTGTAAATGTGCTGATTGCCTCTTAATTAAGTGATCTTATTTATAATACTAAAGAAACTCAGTAGAGACAAAAATGAGAATCACATTTTAAACTATTAGACATAAGGTCAAAAATAAAGGCTTATTGCAAGGCAGCATTATCATCATCCAAGTGTCTCTTGCTTACACTGTGTTGTGACAAAGTAAAATCTATTTCAGCTGTTATATGGCAATAGCTGTTATTTATGAAACATAAAAAGATACTGAAATACAAAAGGGCTTGAAAAGACCAGGGTAAGATCAGATAAAAACATGAGAAAGAAACAGGCATCCTGGGATGGTAACTACCCTGCCATGTACTGACAGGAAGGTTGTATATTTTTAGAATATACTGAAAGGAATGGTGCTTTTACTTAGGTTTTTATGGTTTACCACGAGATGCAATTTTCTGGCCTTATATGCAGTTGTAACAAAAGTCAGAGACGTTTTATGATAGCTGCCACAGTTCATAAATGATGGGATACACTCAAATATTTATAGAACTGTAAAATCTTGATTTCTCTCTGGTTTAGCAGATGGGGCCCTAAAACCAGTTCCCGGATTGTCACATTTCTTCACCCTTTGATGACAAAAAAGCCTGTTGTCAGTTTTCTTCTCTGGAGAACAAGTTCACTAGTGTGAACAAGGTCACACTCTCACTCAATTTTCTGTATTTGAATAATGCCAATTAAGAGTGATCTGAGCAGAAGTTATAATTACTCTGGACATACTTCTTGGCATGAGACTCTAGGTTAGTATAGAAAAGATATCCTCTGATGTACTTTTTACTCATTCCTTTGTCTTCATTTCTGGGAAAATTCACTTCTAAACCTGTATCACCCACAGAAATAAGTATCACACCAATATTAAGACTAGTCTATTCAAGTGGCTGAGGGAATTTCTGCTGTCGTGTGTGTGTGTGTGTGTGTGTGTGTGTGTGTGTGTGTGTGTGTGTGCGCGCGCGCGCGCATGTGTATTTTAAAATGTACTGTAAGATAAATTTATTTTTCTGTTAAGGTCACCAAATTTGAGCATCCTTTACAATTAATTTAAGTATTATTTTTATTATCTTTGGATCTGGACTCTTGCTCTGTCACCCAGGCTGGAGTGCAGTGGTGCCATCGTAGCTCACTGCAGCCTCGAATTCCTGGGCTCAAGTGATCCTCCTGCCTCAGCCTCCTAAGTAGCCAAGACTACAGGCATGCACCACTGTGCCCAGTCAGAGTATTTAAAATTAAAAGGAATGACTGTAAGTTGGATGGTGATGGAGGTAAGAAATCCACATTGATGGATTGATAATGGTATTTTTCTGATTTTAGAAATTCAACCAACAAAAGAAACACAAATACTTGTAAAATAGGTGTATATAGTAGTTATTTAGGAAGCATCATAGAAAAGGCAATCTGAATAAAATTTTAAGCCAATAGATGACAGAGATAAGTAGCTAAATAGATAATCAACTGACTGATAGACTAAAGACATATTTGCGTACATGTGGTTTGTTAGACAGAGTTTGCAAATTTTCTATTTTCTCTTGAGGAATGCTACTAAAATTAAGTAGATAAAATATCTAATTAAAATCTATACACTGATGGTGACATTTTTGTTGATAGCAAAAAATGATGTCTCTCCTAATGCTTCTATTTTTCATTATATGCTTTAAGAAGAAATGCATTTGAAATAAAAATCTTAAATTATATATGCATAGATGAAAATAGTAATAAAATGTAGCTTACTCAGTTGTGCTCAATATTAAAGAGAAATATAAAATCTTCAGTTTTACTGAATCAGAATCTCAGAGTGGACAGAGCTGGAGAAATCTGTAATTCAACGAACTCCCAGGGTGATAAAGATGATTTACTAACTTTGTGAACCAAACCCCTCTCTCGCCCCATGAGCTTGAGGAGACACTAGCATAGCCCACAAATTAGATGCAGATATAATCAATATCTTGTTTTAAATCTAGCTTTCCAGGATATTCCTTAATGGGATATTGCATAACTAACTTAATTTACACAACAATTTCACCCAGTGCTATTATTTAAGCATAGTTTGAGATAAATGAAGGAGTATGCTTATTACTTCTTTTGGTAAGAAATTACACTGGCTATAATTACATTGAAATAATTAAGATAATATTTGGAATACTCTCCTGACCTAGTTGGGTTTGTTTCTGGATGCACACAAGTGTTCTAGTGTTCTACCATCTGTTTGAATTATGCGGGTGGAGAGCCTATCAGGCTCCTGTACAGTGCCAAGAGTAGCTGGCTTAGTCCACCCTGGATAGCCATGAGTCACTCCCCACCCAAATTCACACTTGCATCAGGACACGCAGATACATGTAATATAAAAATGCTGTGCTGGCTACACAGACACAGCTTCCATTTAAATCACGTAGCAGGCCAGGTCCAGTGGCTCACACCTGTGATCCCAGCACTTTGGGAGGCTGAGGCAGGCAGATCACCAAGGTCAGGAGATGGAGGCCAGCCTGGCCAACATGGTAAAACCCCATCTCTACTGAAAATACAAAAATATTAGGCAGGCATGGTGGTTGGCTCCTGTAATCCCAGATGCCTGGAAGGCTGAGGGAGGAGAATCACTTGAACCTGAAGGCTGAGGTTGCAGTGAGCTGAAATCACGTCATTGCACTCCAGCCTAGGCGACAAGAGCAAAAAATCCGACTCAATAAATAAATAAATAATTCATGTGGCACCCCTCTAACCAGGTTGCTGCCTCCACATTTACTTTACTTCTTACCCTTCTCATTATTGCCTCTGGTTCTCTGTGGAGATTATTGTAAGCTTTTCTCCATTTTTTACAGAATTTTTTTGTACATGGCATACAGAATCGTATCAGTGATAGGGGATTTTTATAGAGGTACCTAAGAAATAGCAATATACGTCAATCTGATTCAAATCAAATTCAGTTGAATTCAGTTTAGTAAGTATTTATCGAGCCCTTGCTATGTGCTGGGTTCTGGGCTCGCTACTGAGGGTGTAAAGAAATGGGAGAGAAGGTTCTTACCTTCATGGAGCTTTAGCTTAAATTTCTAGGATACAGGTGAGGCGTGGATGGGTCATATCTGAATAAAAATAATCCTTAACTGAAAGAGAATATGACATCTTCTGTAATGGTGATTTCTCTTCAGTGCTTTTGCAGAGGAGATAGTGATTTTAACCACAGAAAGCTATGTGAAGGAACAAATACAGGAGTGGTTTCAAACCAAAGGTATAAAGTAAAAAAGAGTTATAGGATTAGGAGAATACAAGGTGAGCCTTGGGACTACTCAAACCTCTGTTCTGGATAGAACATGGCTTATTTTTTAGTGTGTATGACAGTGGAATTAAGTTCACAGCATAATGCAAATTCCATTGATCCACATTATTCAAGGATTCTATATTTGCAAATTCACCTAGTCCCAAATATTTATTTGTAACCCCACGATCAATGCCCTTGCATCGCTTTCACCATGTTTCATGGACATGTTCAACCCCGTCCCCCTCTGCACATCATTCCAATTGGCATGGAACAATGTGGCACTCTGCCGCCTTTCAGCTCTCTGCTGTAAACAAGTGTCCTTTTAGCAGTCTATTAAATGCCACCTTGTTTTTTCATTTTTGTACTTTTTTTGGTGTTGTACTGTTTAGAATGGCTTCCGAGTGTTGGTAGTGTTGAGTGCTCTCCAGTGATCCTCAGCACAAGAGACTACAATGTGCCCTATGAAGAAAATATGTGTTAGGTGCTTCATTCAAGCATAGTTTTCATGTTGGTAGCCATGAGTTTAATGGTAATGAATCAATATATAAAAAATAAGGTAACTGTACAGGGAAACACACATAAAACAAGGTTATATATTATTTGGTTAACAAAAATGCTATTACCAGAGGTTCATAGGAAACGAACTCTATATTTCTCCTAGGAACAATGGCTCAGTATTCACTAATTCAGTGTTTGTGGTGACTTTTTAAACACACCTACAATGAATAGTGAGAATCACCTCTATCTAACGAGAAGCTAAGTATTGAGGGCTTTATTTTCCAAGCAGTGAAGACTGCTGAAGAATTTTTAGCTAAGAGACAAGTTAGGAAAACAGGTGCTCCATTTTTTTTAGATGTGTATATGTGTCTGGCTTATTTCACTTGATGTCCCCAGCTCCATCCATGTTGTGGCTAAAGGCAGGACTGTCTCCTTTTTTAAGGCTGAATAATATTCCACTACACACACACACACCCACACGCATATATACACCACTGTTTTTTATCCATTTGTCCATTGGTTGGCGAACACCTGGGTTGTTTCCATAGCCTAGCTATTGTGAATAACGCTGCAATGTACATGGGGGTGCAGAGATCTTTACAAGGTAGTGATTTCATTTTCTTTGGATGTAGACCCAGAAGAGGGATTGCTGGGTCATAACACAGCTCCATTTTTAATTTCTTTAGGAATTTTTATATTGTATTAGGAATTTGTGTTAAATACGTAGATTTCAGGTGTTCTTATTACACACAAAAAAGCAACTATGTGAGATGATAGATAGGTTAAACTGCCTCACTATAGTAATCATTGTACTATCTCTCAGTCTGTGTACATATACATATATACACAGATTTGTATATATGTATATATACACAGATATATATATATAGATATGTATATATATGTATATGTATATATGTATATATACACATATACAGAGAGAGAGAGAGAGTAAGCACTGCAATCCTAATGTTACATCAGGTAGTAAAACTGAAATATACACAACAAATTATTTTAAAAGAAAGAGAAGTGTGTATTCAAAAACAGAATATAGAATTACTCTAAAAAAATACAATGGAGGGGAAGGGAAGAAATGATTACACAAAGGAAGAAACAGTAGAAAATGATTGCAGTGAATACAAAGGCAGTCATTATAATAAACACAGTAAATGCATATTTGAGACCTGGATATTGACTGTGTCCAGAGATGCTCCGAGTTTTCAAGCCATTAGATGTGACACCAAACACCTTTCCCCCAACAATTGTAATGTCGCGGGAAATGATGATTTACAGTTTTGCTTAAAGATTAAATTGTAAGGTGATCTGACTTGTATTTACATGTGGAGAATTTGAATTAAGAGACAGTGAAGGCCTTTCAGAAAGTTGAAAGGCCACACAATTCTGAAGGATCAGTGGGAATGCAAGAGGACGTAATTGTGAAGAGTGGTGAAGATATTCCAGGACCATCTCGCAGAGCCAAGCACTTCACTCACACCTGCAAGAGGGTCAAAGAGACCATGGAGATGTTAATGTAAATACTTTCTTGATGAACTCACATGATATAGTTGGAGGTTGCACAACATACTTGAAGAAAATAATGATGGTTTGTTATTTGGAAATAGAACTCCTGGACCTTTTTATTATCTACAAGGTTCAAATGAATAAACAATTCAAACCAAGGCCTCTCTTTGGTTTAAATTTTCCTACTACTTGTGAGATTTGAGCTGCCCTCTCATAATCTACCTGAGTCCAGGCTTTATGGTGTCAGGACCCGTAGTTTTATTTTAGCCCTAATTCCAATAACTAGCTGGCCCATCTTGCTTAATCATTTAGCCTTTCTGTACTATGTAAGTAAAAGTGATTCTAAAAGCTCCTTTACTTACCACTACAAATTATTGTCTGTCCAAAATGCACAAATTCATATGAAAGTGCTTTGAAAACCTAAATGTAATTTGTAAAGTAATTTTTGTAATTTATACAGTGACTTGAGGATCGCTGTAGTGACCTGTCTTTCTTCCCCAGATGTCACCTATTTTTTCAGCCTGACATCCCCAAAATAGATGGGTTTCTGGGGATTTAGTTTTTCTTCTAGAATCCCAGTTAAATTCAAGTATCTTACCTGGGAGGAGTGATACATAAGCAGTTCTTATATGGAGATTCTTGCAACAGAGTGTTTTGTGAGTAGTGGAGGAAACTATTATTCTTATATCATGAGGCAAAAAAAAAAAAAAATACTATTGGAAAGTCTGCATGTTTTATAGGCCTTGGCAATTTCTGAGCATGAGGGACTATAAACTCTAAAGTTCAGCACAGGCTCCCTTGAGGAGGGACCACAGGGTCACAAGGAAGAGGAGCAGACAGAGAGGGGCAGGGCTGGGTTACAGTGCTGTCATCAACAAAACGTTGTCTTTTCTTACTCCAATTGAAGCAACCTGTAAAAATTACCCCAGACTAACATATTTAATGTTCAGATGGAATGAGATACACTATATAGTCTAAACATTTATGCTCCCCGCTAAAATTCATATGTTGATACCTAATTGGCAGTGTGACGGTCATAGGGGGTGGGGCCTTTGGGAGGTGATTAGGTCATGAGGGTGGAGCCCTCATGAATGGAATTAGTGACCTTATAACAGAGGCCCCAGGGAGGTCTCTCAGCCCTTACTCTGTGTGAGGACACAGTGAGAAGACAGATGCTTGTGAACCAGGAAGCAGTCCCTCTCCAGACACTGAATCAACCAACACCTTGTTCTTGGACTTCTCAGCCTTCAGAACTGTGAAAAATAAATTTCTGTTGTTTGTAAGTCACCCTGCCTATGATATTCTGTTATAGCAGTCTGAATGGACTAAGACAGGATAACAAAGTTTGTCTATTACTTCGGATATGTTTGGAAGCAAACAGTGAAGGTCTGATGTCTCTAGACCTATTATTATATGCCAAGATAGTAGACATTCTTTGTGAGACTATTTGAAAAAACTTACTAGAAGGAATGAAAAAAATGTGAGAAATTATTCTTTTTTTTTTTTGAGATGGAGTCTCGCTCTGTCACCCAGGCTGGAGTGCAGGGACGCGATCTCGGCTCACTGCAAGCTCTGCCTGCCGGGTTCATGCCATTCTCCTGACTCAGCCTCCTGAGTAGCCGGGACTACAGGCGCCCGCCACCACTCCCGGCTAATTTTTTGTATTTTTAGTAGAGATGGGGTTTCACTGTGTTAGCCAGGATGGTCTCGATCTCGTGACCTCATGATCCACCTGCCTCAGCCTCCCAAAGTGCTGGAATTACAGGCGTGAGCCACCGCACCCGGCCGAGAAATTTTTTAAAAAAGAAACCAAGGCACAAGTATCTACCATCTAAAATTAACAGCATTAAAAAAACAATGGGAATGAAATGGAAAGGAAAAGATGAACACCAGTCACACTGCAAGAGAAATATTTTGAAAAGGTATTGATTAACTCCTAGAAGGAAATTTGTTTTTCCCTTTATCCGAGAAATTCTGCTTTGACTTGAACTTGGAGAACAGGAACACCTGCTAAACAAGGAAAATTTTGTGTGCTATTGCAGAAGTAAATAAGAAAATGATAACTTCCAAGAATATTTATTTGGTGCTAGTCAGTCCTGGCAGGGAGTTAGGCAGCAGGGAGATGAGCTTAAAGGGTTTAAAAGGCTGTATTTCAGTGTGAAGGGTGCTTGTTAGAAACCCATAGAGAGTTAAGCAATTATCCGAGATGATGTTGCAGTGCTTACGGGGTGCAGAGATGTGGATGGCTGTCTTTGAAAGAGATCAGCTAGGAAAAACTGTTCAATCACTTCTAGAATGGATGTGCTAAGCTATGTTCCTAAATGGATATCAACTCAGTAAATTTGACAGCTGGGAACATTAAACATCCACGTGTCTGTGTTTGTGTCTAAAGATGCAGTAAATTCATTGAAGACAAGTCTGTGGTATTACCTGGTTTCTCCAAAGAGATGCTATTTGGGGAATTAAGAGAGAGGTTTTTTTCAGCTTGCCTTTGCAACTCAAGCTTGTCCCATAGTGCTCGCACTTTTTATGCCGGCTGTGCGCACACAGGCAGATAATCAGAAGATGAGTCACAATCCTGGTTACATCACTGATTAGTCATGAAGCGTCAGAAAAGCAGCTAACTTATCCATTTTCCTGACTTCATTTATTCAACGGAAGAAAGTAGAGAGCTGCCTCTTTGATGAGTGTACCCGTGGTCCTAACAAACTTGGCATGCTTTCAAACTACATAGGCTATCGTATAAACATTCACACAATCATGTATAGAGTAGAGCTGAAGGGAGACAGAATGCATTTTAGTTTAGGTGCACTCTCAATTACTGTAACATCTGCCATATTTTGCAGAGGCTACCCTAGAGATATACCTGAACAAAAACACTCACCTGTGAGGAAATGCAAGCAGATTACAGACCAGATTATTGAGGAGAGAGAATAACAATTCATTCCTGAATAAGATACCAGCTCTTTATCAATTTAATGACATTAATTAAAAAAATCCTACGTGAAAGTGAAATATGTCATTACTTACTTTTTCACTGAGGCAATGCTGTCCTTCCCACAAATCATAGAAAGATGTTGCCCCTCTGCATAAAAGAATATTCTACCTTTCTCATCCTCTTTGCTCTGTTGAAACCAAGGGACTATACATAATTTTCTGATTTATATATTTTATATCTGACATAATAATTTATTTCTTTTTCTTAGAAACAGAAATTTCTTAATTTCTTTATGCTATGTATAGCATAAAGAAATAAAATAAATTCTAGTGGTAAGCAGAATTCTGAGATGGCTGTCGAGGTTTCCACCTACTGGTGTACATGCCACGTTTAATCCCCTCCCCTTCAGCGGATCTGATGATTAGGTTACCTTATAGGAGCCAGGCGGTGGCATAGTCCCTCTCATGTTGACATTATATTATATAAGACAAGGTGACAGAGGACTAGAAAGAAATTCTCCTGCTGAACTTTAAGAGCAAAAAGAGGGCCTTGTGGGTCCTGTAGGAGCTAAAAACAACCCCCACACTGACAAGAAAGTAGGACTTTAGTCCTGTAACTGTGGTACAGTTTGGACATGAAATGGAATTCTGAATATTGGAGGTGGGGCCTGGTAGGAGGTGACTGGATCATGAGGGTGGGTTTCTCATGAATTATTTAGCACCATCTCCCTTGGTACTCTCCTCAGGATAGTGAGTTCTTATAAGATCTGGTCATTTAAGTGTGTGGCACCTCCCTCCTCTCTCTCTTGATCCTGCTCTAGCCATGTGACGCGTCTGTTCCCCCTTCACCTTCTGCTAGGATTGTAAGCTTCCTGAGGCCTCACCAAAAGCCAAGCCGATTCTGGCACCATGCTTCCTGTACAGCCTGCAGAACGATGAGTCGATTAAACCCCTTTCCTTATAATTACCCATCCTCAGGTATTTCTTTATAGTAATGTGAGAATGACCCAATACAAACTTCAAAGAACAAAATTATTTCAGCAATGTGAATGAGCTTGGGAGGAGATCCTGAACCTCAGGTGAGATGGCAGCAAGAGCAGACACCTCGACTGCAGTCCAATGAGCCCTTGCAGAGGCCCAGCTAACCCAGGCCCAGACACCTGACCTTGGGGAGTTGTGAGATGATAAATTTGTGTTGTTTTAAAATGAAATTTGTCATGCAGCAATAGAAAAGTAACACTGGTACCAAGCATGTGTTGAGGGAAGCTACTTTTAGCAGATACTTTGAAATCTCAATGGGTGGGGGGTGGGGGTGGGGAGATGGGGCAGCGATTGGTTGGAATTCCCAAAGCAGGAGGGATCTGCTGTTCAGCATAAATGCTAGAGCTGGAAGAGAAAAGTACAACTGCACGTATTGCAGTTGCATTTGAAGAAAAAATTGCAGTGACACAGAGAGTATTTGGTTCCAAAGCATGCTAAAGAAATGTCATAATAGTGTCATAAAAGACTACAGTAATGAATGCCCTGATATCCTTAAATAGTTTTGTGTCTATCATAGACTAAGAATTACAGAGATAAAATCTGTAAAAACCAACCAGTGGTAATGAATGTGCTACTTCCCCTGCCATTGTGTAGTTTTTGACTATGCATGCATAATGTAACAAAAATTCACTTTTACATTGTGCTTTTCATTCTAGATAGTTATATCAACATCTTTCTTTTCCCAGTTGCCATCCAGTTTTTAAATTAGTATTTTGAAAATATTGTAGAGGTTGTATGTTTATTTGATATAAGTCATAATTATTTCTCTCTGTTGTTGAGCATCTAGGTGGTTTGAAATGTTCATTACTGCAGTAAACACAGTAATCAATACTGCAATAAACACCTTTGTACATGTACTATTGTAATGTTTTTGGATTTTTTTCTCATGATAAATTGTGAAAAGGGGGGTTGTTATAACATTCACGACACACCATGGAAGCTATCCTAAAAGAAATAACGAGAAGATTGACTTGCCTATAAAAGCACCTCAGCAGATATTTTTAGAACCACACTCAGTAAATAACAAATATTTCACTGTCCAAAAAGTTTAATTGCTCGTTCACAAAGCATGTCATTTCATCTAATTACCCACAATAGTTGATAAACAACATTACTGTGTACCTATGTCTATGCATAGAAGGAACAAAGATGTTAAATGTTAACTATTCTAACATGATTCTCAAGAATAATAATAGAATTATATTTAAGAATGCTGAATAATATTATTAAATAATACTTAAATATGCTTATATATGCATGTGTACATTTAGATGTGTAGTTTATCTACATATCTATCTACATATATAAATATACATATGCATATGCATATATAAACATAGATAAGTCTTACTTACTAAAGTGTTACTAAAAATGTCAGAGGCTATAATGAGAAGACCAAAAAGTGAATTCAATCCTATTAAGTATATATTAAAGTAGATTTTGAATTTGGTGGTAAATTGGTCACAGGCCCTTGAAACATATGTACACGATATGTTTCTCACAGGCCCTTGAACCTCCTGTTCAGCATAAATTCTACAGCATATATGTACACTGTATGTTTCAAGGCCCTGTGACCAAACATATGTACACTATATGTTTCTACTTTCTCTACACTACAGAGAGGCTGTGTGTGTGCGTGTGTGTGTGTGTGTGTGTATATATAATGTATATACAGCCTCTCTACACTATAGATTAGAAAATGCAAATTTTGTGGCCAGGTGCAGTGGCTCATGCCTACAATTCCAGCACTTTGGGAGGCCGAGGTGGGCAGATCACAAGGTCAAGAGTTCGAGACCAGCCTGACCAACATGGTGAAACCCTGTCTCTACTCAAAAATACAAAAATTAGCTGGGCTTGGTGGTGCACGCCTGTAGTCCCAGCTACTCAGGAGGCTAAGGCAGGTGAATTGCTTGAACCCGGGAGGCGGAGGTTACAGTGAGTGGAGATTGCACCACAGCACACCAGCCTGGAGACAGAGCGAGACTCCATCTAAAAAAAAAAAAAAGTTGTAGCATAATTGTAAATATTTTGTCCTGTATATAAGATTACATCTGACAGGTTGCTATTTTTACCCTAATCAAATAAAAATAATTTCTTTCATTGGTCTATAATAATGGCATCCTCTTTTTTTTTTCTGAATAGAGAATCAAGTAGAACTTCTATTATTTCCAAGAAATTGTGGACAAACCTTGTCATTTTGCATCTACCATTCCCATGTTGCTTGTCAAATGAGGATCCTGAACACAGTTTCTAGGATGATGAGGACGTTGTAGTTCTCCTATTATTCTGCTGATGGAATTAGTGTTCAGGGTGGTGCATTCTGGGATGACTGCATCTGTCCTATGCTATGAATAGTGCTAGCCTAGTACTGAAGGTAGGTCAATGTATCATGCACTTGAGGTATTTGCCTGTTCATTTTTAGTGTTGAATTTAGCATAATGCACAGCATTGGAGAAGACAGAAGAAGAAGAAAACCATTTAGATTTGCTCAGATACCAAAATTATGGCAAAGTGTATGGCTTTTAGGGATGTGTTTATTCCTGTCCAAGCCTATCAACATTGTTTCTCAAGACTATGAATTTACAGTCATGGAGAAGGTCTTCCCATTGGCTTCCTCTTGATGCCTTCTAAGTACTTAAACACATAACAATAAACAATAAGAATAGCAGAAATGTGCACATAACTCGTGCCAACTCTGCTGGCATAAATCCGACACTTTTATTTGGGCCACAACAGGACACGAAAGGGTGAGATATTATACTGACATGGGGTGTAGAATTTCTTCTCTGACTTCTCACTCCAGTGTGCTTCCAGGAATTAGTGTTAATTACTACCAAGAAAGCTGTGATAGATAATTCTGATCACTTCTTATTTTAGTTATATATGAATAATTCAGGAAAAGCCAACCTCTCCACCCTATCAAAAACACTCCCCACTTTCAAACTTTCTCTGAGAACTGTGCATAGCTAGTAAATCAATTTGATGATTATTCTATTCCAAAGAGCATGCAATGATTTACATTTATATGCCACAAATTTCCTTCCTGTTGCCCCAGCAAGAGCTAGAGCATGATTGATAATGATGCGAAAGTGCTGGCACAGACGTTCCGCGGCCTCAGCATGCTTGCGTTGCCCAGTGTGACAAGCTCCTCCTTGTATGCACAATGCTCTCATGCAGGTAGCATGTGACGCAAGGCCGAGAGTGCCAGCAGATTCTTGATTGTTTTAGTACGGGACAAGTACTGACCCCTATGACAATAAATGTGTTTGGCATTTATCTTCTTAGCAGGTCAATACTGAATGTCATCCTTAGGGGAGGGGTGCTGTTTAGCTTCTTGTAATTAGTTTAGTTGCCTCTGTTGAATCCCTAATGGACTCCTGTATCATAAAAAACATTCTTTTCTGGAATGGTTGTCAGTTTCATTGTGTCTGCTCCCTCCTTCCAAGCCTCCCCTCCCCACTTTATTCTCTTCCTGGGAAAAAGAAAAAATAAATAAACACAAGTTTGAAAGATTAAAGTGATACCAAAGACAAAAATGTATCCCTCTTTATTCTACTAATTTACAAATTCTATAATCAGAATTAAAGGAAAGATACATCTTGAATTTTGTTAGACTTACAACGTTCATATCATTATGAAATTATTTCTTTTGAAAACTTTAAATAACACTCAGTTTTTGGGTATTATGCCTTTCTCAGAAAATAATCTCTGGAGATCCTACTGTTCTGCTGTCAAGGTGAAAGTGGTCACTACAACTCATGTTGCTTCCCAGGATGATATGATTGTTATTATTTCTTATTAACTGAACAAGATGACAATCACAGATAGGCAGTTTTTTACCCCTTAGTGTTTTAGCTCTTTTAACTTCCCATGGACAATACAATCAAATCTATAAAAAGTATCCATACCAAAAATATAGGGCAATCTAGGTTGGAAATGTATTTCATTCAGCGAAGTGAAATTTAATATTGTAGGATTTAAGTTTTGGTTAGATATCAGATACTCTTAATGAAGATATTTAAAACTATGGCAAAGTGTTTCTCAAATTTTAGCTTAGCTAAAGATCAGTCAGGATGCTTGTTAAAAACACACTTACAGGCATCATCGTAGAGATTTTGATTCAGTAGGTATGGCAAAAAAAAAAAAAAAAATCAGCATTTCAAAAGTGCCCCCACATAATTACAGTAAGGTAGTTTCTGGAATCATCTGGAAAAACAGCTGTGGGTTTTTTAAAGTAGTGTTTTTTTTTTTTCTTTATGCTAATAAAATATAGGTTGACTCTCATCTGCAGATTGTAGTCAATTTTTCTGAGATTATGAGTCCCATTAAATTTTCAAATGGGATCACGCAAAGAATACACTGTCCTGCATTCCATCATAGCCCCATTCAGTATTTTTAATTGCAATATTTCTTATAAAAGTGACTTTTGGAGTATTTTTGTTTGTCTTCTTTTTTAGTAAACATAATTTCCTTGGGTTTAATATCTGCATTTTATTTTAATAAGTAAATATTTTTGGAGTTTGAGTGCAAATCTAAGAAATTAGAAATAATATACTTCTATGTTTCGCTTTATCTGGGGATCCATAAGTGGGTTTCAAGGACAAAATATGTGTGCAACTATCTGTTAGGTTTTTCAAGCATTCATTTATTTACTGGAGCTTCCATGACTCCCAAAGAGGTCCATGTCTCAAGAAACATTAAAATTTAATATAGGAAAATTAGAAGGAGAGTCATAGAAATGCAAAACCCCATTTACCAACAAGTTGTTAAAGAAATGACTGGCCATCTTTTTGTTGGTAATGTGTCACCTTTAAAGGGGATTAATAGGGCCTAACAGGAAAGCATCATTTCTTTGTTCTCTTCTCAGCCTGGTGAGATAGGGTTTTACAAAGTGGTTGCTTAGTAACTTGCCCAGTATGACTATTTTTCCTCTCCCCATATGCAGACATAGTTAATTGCGAGATTTTGAATTATTACAGTAATTTTCTATTTCAGTGACCTTATTGATAGAAGAGAGAATTACAGAATTTCTGAAGTCAAATTTTTTGATCTAGGGCAGCATATGGTAATGACACTGTATTCTGGATATATGTAAACTACTCATTAGAAATGAAAACAAAAGTCTCAGAAAAGAAGTGTTGACTTGATCAAAGTCCCTAAGATAGTAAATAATTGAGTCTAGGAGGCTTAAAACCAGATGTATCTTATGCCAAAGCCCATGGCATGCTTTCCCATCCCAACTCGATCCTATCTCAGTTTTGTTTGGCTCTAATCATCATTAATATATTTCCTTGGTAACCAAGAGTTAAAATGACATGGACAGTCTCCCTTACGTTTCCCATTAGTTCAAATTATTAAATGATGCTTAGAACTAAATTGAGTATAAGGGTTTCCTTATTATTCTTCAACTTCCTGATTCATGAAACTGCAGAAAAAATAAGAATGTTTTAGGTGTTCTACTTTTAGAAGAATGAAAAGAAACAGTGACCCAACAGTTGAATACTACTGTGACCATAAATTGCCTTTATGCCAGATTTTCATCTGTATCAGGAAAATATTACCCATAATCTCATTTGACAAGATAATCTCTGAGCTACCTCCATACCAAAATCATTTGTATTGTCTTTTGATCTTTTGATCTTTACCCCATTGCCTTTTAATGTGCATTCTATGTTAAATGATTTTACATAAATGATTATAATTTCTTGACATAGGGATTTTTTCTGCTTTCAGGTCTATTTATTCTCTTTTCTTCAAATAAGGCATTTTTTTTTCTGTCATCAGCCATAGTTCATCCTTATCTTATCTCATCTGAAGTATTCTGGGGTCTTGTTCAGCTTTTTCCACTAAAATTCAAAATAACTTATTTATTCTCTATGAATTTATATAGACACTTTCTGTAGTGTTAGGTATGAATCCCAATTCTTAACCTTCATGATCCTTGGAAAATTTCTGTGTATTCTCTACGTACTTCTTTGCCTTAAAGGTTTCTCAGGAAGGGTAGTGCACACCTGTAATCCCAGCTACTCTGGCGGCTGAGGCAGGTGAATCACTTGAACCCAGGAGGCGGAGGCTGCAGTGAGCCGAGATCGTGCCACTTCATTCCAGCCTGGGTGACAGAGTGAGACTCACTCTGTTGGCCAGGATGATCTTGAACTCTTGACCTCAAGTGATCCACCTGCCTCGGACTTCCAAAGTGCTGGGATTACAGGCATAAGCCACTGTGCCCGGCCCAGTCCTCTTTTATATATGTATTAATATATACATTCTTCCTATTGACTACAAATTAATCTTTTTTAAAAAGTTCTGTCTTGGACCATTTTCTCAATCCTTGCCAAGAATTCTTCATTCTCTCTAACAGTTCAAGATAAAGAGAGACTCATTGTATGAGTCTGTTCTCACACTGCTCTAAAGAACTGCCCAAGACTGGGTAATTTATTATTATTTTTTTTTTTTTTTTGAGACGGAGTCTCGCTCTGTCGCTCAGGCTGGAGTGCAGTGGCACGATCTCGGCTCACTGCAAGCTCCGCCTCCTGGGTTTACGCCATTCTCCTGCCTCAGCCTCCTGAGTAGCTGGGACTACAGGCGCCGCCACCGCCCCTGGCTAATTTTTTGTATTTTTAGTAGAGATGGGGTTTCACCGTGTTAGCCAGGATGGTCTTGATCTCCTGACCTTGTGATCTGCCAGCCTCGGTCTCCCAAAGTGCTGGGATTACAGGCTTGAGCCACCGCTCCCGGCCTAGACTGGGTAATTTATAAAGAAAAAATTTCCTGAGGCCTCCATATCGCTGAGAAGACCTCAGGAAACTCACAATCATGGAAGAAGGGGAAGCAGGCATGTCTTACATGGCAGCAGGTGAGAGAGAGCAAGAAGAGGGAACTTAAAACCATCAGCTCTCATGAGAACTCCCTCAATATCACCAGAACAGCCTGGGGGAAACCACCCCCATTATCCAATCACCTCCCACCAGGTCCCTTCCTTGACACATGGGAATTATGAGGATTACAATTGGAGATGAGATTTGGGTGGGGACACAGAGCCAAACCATATCACTCTTGTCTCAAATCCTTCTCCTTCAACAGGAAAACTCCTTTAATTTCACTATGCATGTACCTGAAAGACAATCAAAGTATGTTCCTTGCTTGCAGTAACTGCAAAACTAGATTCCTTGCCGTGCCAGGAATCTAGTTTTAGTATTCCAGCTTTTAAAATATAAAGACAGATTCTAATTCCTTTTAGCTCTATCTGAAAGCTTCTCCTTGCAGCTATCACTTACTTCTGGGCAACTATTCAGTGTGGAGACCCCTAAGAAGTCTGTCTCAATGCCAGCTATTCTGCTCCCTAATAGACCTGGCTTCTGTGCTAAAGTGTTAGATTTTACCACTGATCAGTTCATCAACACTGAGTGTTTCAATCTAGTGTCCATGTATTGAGACACCGTGGAGATCTGTGCCTAAAATACTTACTGTTACCATTGGAAAAAGCAAAAGAAAGGAAGATTCTATCTGTATTTAGAGGCTCTTGGCATTTCAACACAACAAGGAGTGCCTGTGGAAAGCCTGCAGTTGCATTCTTCCTGTCAATATTTATATAATGCCAAGGTTCAGCCTTATAGAGAAGAACTCTCTTGTGCAATTCAAGATAGAAAGGGCCATGAAGAGCTTCCCTAAAGGCTCTCTTAACTTTCTATTCTGTGGTATAAACACAAGCCTTAGGATATTTTTATTCTACTATTTTCAAAACTTCTCACCCAAGGGAGCCAGCCAGGCCTGCAGTGACAGGAGAGTATGGGTGGTGACAGCCTAGGATTATCATTTCCGTGGTACTATTTGGGCTACTTGACAGCACAGTTGGGGACCAGAGACAACCTTGTTGAATTTATGGGTTCTGTTTTGGTTTTGACCAAAAGTTAAAAACCACAGGGCTGTGTGTGTGTGTGTGTGTGTGTGTGTGTGTGTACATCTGTGTGTGTAAAACATGAATCATTGAGAATGGTGAAACAATCCAGAGTAGAATGTTCCAGTTGTTTGCATATCTATTTTTCATAAAAACCACAGACATTTTGATGTGTATGCCTTGAATTAATGCAGAAACCAATGGCCTACATGTGAAGACACCAGCTCCAGAGAAGAGATTCACATTTGGCATATGATGGATGGAAGGAAGGACTGTGATGACAAAGGGACCAGGAGATATTTCTTATTCTTCCAGCATAATCTCTAAACCAGAAGCTTATTCCCATAGAATTTTCCAGTGAGGAAGGGTTAAGAATACTTGGGAAAATGAGGGTAAAAGATGAGCTAAATATTACCTTGTAGAAACAGTTCTTTGGGAATCGTTTATGAAGAAAATATTTTTCAATCTCGAATCATTCCATGTAGATAGTTATCGATTTATCAACTTTTTCTGTTAATGATGTTACTAATGATATAATTTAAAGACCTGAAGTTAATGGTGATATAATTTAAAGTCATGCTTTTATTTAAATGAAATCAATTTTTATCAGGATGAGAAGAAAGTCTTTAATAAAATGTATACTATGGGGTAAAATGGCAAAATGGCAATTTATTTTTCTCTCTTCTCTCTTTCTTTCCTGGATAGCCTGTGCCTGGGCCCCTACTTAGCACCAAATAAAGCCAGGGCGCAGATAACCCTATAATATTCATGACCTCTGCTGTTTTTTGCATGTCCCCTCCGGGGCCCATATTGAAATTTAATTGCCATTGTGATGGTAGTAAGAGGTGGGCCCATTATGGGATGATTAGAACATGCAGGCTCCATCCTCATGAATGGATTAATGTCATCACTGAGGGAGTGAGTTAGTTATCTCAGGAGGGGGTTCCTGAGTAAAAGTGAGTTAGCCCTCTCATGCCCATTCTTGCTCTTCTGCTCTCTTGTCCTTCCACCTCCTACCATGGGATGATGTAGTAAGGAGGCCCTCACCAGATGCCACTCTTTGACCTTGGGCTTCCCAGCCTTCAGAAGTGGAAAAAATTAAATTTATTTTCCATATAAATGACCCAGTCTGTGGTATTCTGTTACTGCAGCACAAAGTGAACTAAGACACCCTCTATTCTCAGTCTACTCACATGTGCCGCTCACACCTCATCACCTCACCTATTCCAGCTCTTCCTGCCTTCACACCTTGCAAAGCCTTTATTTAATCCATGGTTTGGCTTCACCCTCAGACCTATTACAGAGACAGTTATTGTATTTGTCTTTGACCTCAGTCTCCTTCCTTTCAAGCCTGGCTGAAGCTTTAACATCTGTCATTCTGGTGCCCTGAGTATGGAGCTCACTTATTGTAGCCCAGGTTATTATAACCATCAAATATGCATGCTCATTTGGTTTGCTCCAGGAGCTAGTGGAGAATCTAAACAAAATTCTTCTGATACAGCAGGAGCAAACTTAGAACAAGGGCGTTGAGGTCCTGCAAGGTATCCTCGTTATTCAAGTATTTTCAGTTACTACAATCAATTCACCAGTTTATTCTTTCTTGGTAACCTTTGGTCTCCAAATGTTTATATAGCCTTTCTGCAGACAATGCTGAACATCTAAATTTGATTGAGCCTAAACATATTTTCAGAGATTCTATTCCTTTCTCCCTCATGAAAACCTTCACCATGTTCCCTGGAAGGTTGGTGTCCTTGGGCAGGGTGCAATAAACCATGGGAGCCTCTTAAAAGTGTTACTCATGAAATCATCATTGCCTTTGCTGTTTTGGACCAAGAACCCAGTTTAGTGTCCCCCAAAGACCCTGCTCTGTTCTTTCCTCTTTACCTGTTCATAATCTTTTTTAACTTTCACAGGCTAGATCTTATGAAAAATAACTCTTTTCCCTGGTTGCTTCTTCCTCTGAGTTTCTGCATTTCTGCTGGTTGGCTTTACATGTTAATATTCATCACATATAACTTAATATTGCCTTCTGTTGTTTCAGCATATACATTACTTCCCCAACTAAATTTTAAGCTCCCTGAAGGAAAGAATTGTGCCTTTTTATTTTTTAGACATTCTTTACAGTAACTTATGCTGTAGCACACATACATTACCAAATAGCAAAATATCATCAGTGAGTATAAATTATGATATTAAGAATAGACTTAAAACCACCATATAAGCAGTTTTAGGGAAAAAATACATAATTGGGGTATTCATGCATTTTGAAGCCTATTAAAATATAAATGCAGAATATAGTCAGTCAATCATGGTATTCTCTATAAAGCACACTTAGGAAAGGGAAAATTCATAGCAGGAATAGTGATGTGTTTAACAAACAGGCATCAGTGTATTGAATGCTGCCAAACCCAATCCATTGCTCAACAGAATGACTATAAATAAGACAGCACAGAGGAGGAGAGTTAGAGATGAAATGGGCAATGAGGTGGAAGGAGTCGCAGCTGTTTCTTTTCATTCATTCATTGAATTCTCTGTAAATATTGGTATGGCTTGCAAAGTGGTAAACAGCATTTCTGTAAATTAGAATGACTGCTCATATCCTGGCAAGAATATCAGGGGTCTGAGTATCAGGCAAAGCAGACGATGACATCATACACGGCATGAGCTTCCCCTCGGCTTCTCCAAATGCTCCTAATTCATTTGCTCCGTAACATTTGAATATATATTTTAGCTGAGCCAACTTTTTTACCAGGAAAGTATTCAGTGCTTGTTTTAGATTCATTTTCCTGCAGCTTGCATTTTGCCATATGCATTGGGACTTGTTTACACTTTTATTTTAAGGTTTGTTCTGTTTCTGATTTTGTTTCGCACTGAAGTTCCGAATAGACAGATGTCTATTAGAAGAATTGAAATGACATATCAGAGTTTTAATGCCGTCGTTCTTGTATTTGCATATTTAATTACTTGCATCGCATTTTATTAGTATATTTTCTGATGAGGAATTCTCAGTAATTAATTTCACCTGGAATGGTATGCGGGTGTATGAAAAATTACACTTGGCCACTTGCAGAGACCAGCTGTGTATTAGAAATATCTGGTCCCCATCTGCAGGATTAAAAAAAGTGAGAGAAAACAGCTGATTGTAAAAAACAGTCACTTTACCTTGTGCCCTGAAGGTATTATTATTATTGGCAGATATCCTTTATTACTCAGCCTATATTCTGGACATTAACTCAGAAGTTTACTCTGAGCATCATTCAGTGGGATGACTTGACTTTGCATCATTTTGGTTTTAATTTGTAGTCCTGCTAATGTGATTGGGTTCCACCCGTATGCGTGCACTCGCTGCCTTCAATTCCAGCCTGACTCACACACAGCCAACTTCATTTGGACCACAAATTGTTTTGGCCTAGCTGGCAGCGGAAACCCAAAACAAAAATCTGGGAGAGTAGGGATATCATGTTAAAAGATAACCCTCAGGGTCAAACGTGGCCTCTTAGAAATGCAACCAAATCCTGTAGCAGCGCTCCAGTACACACGTGCATGTTTTTATTTTCTCTTTTTCTCTCTGTCTTGCTATGTATTTCTATGTGGATTCTTTGTCTGCCCTGACAACAGATGGTGTTTTAATAAAGTCCGGTAGGAATATTACTGTGAGTAAACAATGCAGCGCATGCCAATTCCATAATTGCTGGGTACTGATTCAGCCTCTTACCTGCTGCATCCAAATTGGGAGGGAACCAACTGTGCTTGCACCTACCGGCAGCAGCCCGCTCGCCTGCAGCTGTGGTGTGCTTCAGCAGCTAGCCTCACCACGGAAGGTAAATTGCGGCTCCTGTCATGTGTCTTGGCACCGGGTCTAGGGAATGCTGCCATCTGGCTTGTCATCAAACATGGTCATTGAATCTCTCAGAGATAAAATGGCTTTTTAAAAATCTTGCTGTTTTTTTAAAAATTGACACACATAAAATGTATTATCTTTCTCTTTACAGGCATGGTATATTCTAAAATAAGTGTTTGAGCTTATTTGAGCAATAGCTTCCAGAGTGTTGTTTTTCCTCACTGATTCCCACGCTCAAAGGGATTTATAGTCTAAACCTATTATATGTTAATGGAAAATTTAAATTCATCGGATCTGGCCAAGAAATGCAAGCTCTCATTTATATGTCTCATTGGGGAAGGGCAAAAAGTTAGGTTAACTCTCTGAATAATTTTAGTTTGTTTTTCATTGTATAGAAACATGTCCTTAACTCTTTTACTCAAAAAAGAGGGCAGGTGAAGCAAATAAAGATTGTAATCCAAATGTACGATATTTGTCCCCTCCCCATAGTCCCCTCAAACTACCTGCTAAATAGAAGTCTCCAGGAAAATCAAAGTGGCTTTGGCAGCCAGAAAGAGAAAGTCAGTGCTTACTCATTTTGTAAGAAGGCCAGCAGCATGTGATGTTTATCCAAGGATCATATTTTAAGTGACATCCAGTTTCTTCAAATACTGCCATTTTCAACAGAGTGCTCTAAACACTTTTGGTAGTGCCTACAATTATAAAAGCAAACAAAAAGCAAAATGAACTGCAGAAACAGCAGCGTAGCCTTCACAGTAGAGAAAGGTTAACGTCTGCTGGCTGACATATTCAGAGAAAAGCCTCTTGTTGCCCGGTTTGTCTGTTCAAGTAAATAAAATATATTAAACTGATAGGACACCAAACTGCTAGAGTTCATGCCAATTTTTTCTTTTCAGTAAAGGCTGCCAACTCCCCAGCTAGACTGATGGTTACATGAAATGCTAGTATTGCATCATTTTCCCTTCCATCGATTTTTAGATAGAATGATCCTGTTTTTGAATATTTTGAGAAGAATCTGAAACAAATGCAAAAACAGACAAAAATAATACACTGAAAACTCTTACACATTACCCATTCCTAACAAGTGCTCGTCCAAAGTTCCCCATCCATACCTCCTTCCTGGTTTATTTGAAACAAATTCTATCCATCCTGTCAATTTAACTGTAAACATTTCTTTATCTTTTTTTTTTAAAAGTCACAGATCTTTTTTGTCCCTTTCTGTAACTTTCTGTTTTAGCATTACTTCAAAGAAAATGTGTAATAGTATGAGGAACACCCTTTTAACCAAAATTTGCTAATGTTTTATATGTGCTTTGTCTATTTTTGTCTCTTTATATATAGTTTCAAACAAATGCATACTTTTTCAGAATCATTTGAGTGTATAGTAGGTTTCTGTTGCTACAGTAACACATAACTCAGAAACTCAAATACTGCATGCTTTCACTTATAAGTGGGAGCTAAGCAATGGCTACACGTGGACATAAAATTGGCAAAAATAGATCTTGGGAACTCCAAAAGTGAGGAGCCTGGGAGAGGCCGAGGGTTAAAAAAATTATGTACTTGGTACAATGTTCACTATTTGGGTGATGGGTGTGCTAGAAGCCCAAACCTCACCATTATGTAATATATCCATGTAACAAGCCTGCACATGTACCTCTGAATCTAAAATTTTAAAAAATTAAAAATAAAATGTACATGGAAAGGAAAGTAAAAAAAAACCCCACAAATTCCTTAACATTCTAGAATTCAGAAATCCGAAATGAGATTTCTGGGGCTAAAAAAATGTATCAGCAGGTCTTCTGGAGAGTCTGGGAGAATCTGCTCCCTGCCCCTTCCACGTTCTAGAGGCTGCCTCAATCCTCTGGTTTCTCAAGGTTGCCTGGATTCCTTGACTTGCAGCCCCTTCCATCTTCCAAGCCAGCATTTGCATCACTTTGAAATCAGCCTCTGCTCTAATCTCCTAGTCTCTGCCTCTGCTTCTCTTGCTTCCCTCTTGCTTTTTTTCTAAGAACCTTGTGATTACATTGGGCCCACCATGATAATCAAGGATAATTTCTTCATTTTTCGATTTTTAATTGCATCTGCAAAGTCCCTTTTGCAAACATAGAAAATATGTTTGCAGGTTCCAGGATTCAGATATCTTCCAGGGAGAAGGAGATACTGTGCACACTCCATCTCTAGTGTTTCCGAGAGTGCTTCCTAAGAATGATGACTTTCTCTTACACAACCACAGCAAAATAAGTCAAAATTAGAAAATTACCTAACCTGCACTGCATAATCTGATTTCATCAATTATCTCAGGAACTTTTTTTATCCAACACCACTCAAAATCCAGGATCCTAGACTATGTTTAATTGTCATGTTTCTTTGGTCTACTTTAATCTAAATGAGATTCTTAGTCTTCTTTTTGTCATTTATTTTGACATTTAGAAGGCAATAGGCCTGTTAGTTCATAAAATGTTCCACCATATCTATTTGTCTATTTTTTATGATTGAATTCAGATTATGACTTTTTGGCAGATGGGATGGTTAAATTTTATGTGTCAACTTGGCTAGGCTATGGTCCACATTTGTCAGGTCAAATGCTAATCTAGAGGTTGCTGTGAAAATAGTGTGTAGATGTGGTGAACATCTAGAATCAGTTGACTTTTAGACAAAGTGAGAACCCTCAATAATATGAGTGGACCTCATCCAAACAGTGAAGGCCTAAAAGCAAAAGGATTCCCTAAGGATTCCCTTAAAACTGTAATGTAGAAACCCTACCTGAGTTTCCAGCCTGCCAGCGTGCCCTACAGATTTGGATTTTCCAGCCCCACAACCACATAAGCCAGTTCCTTAGAATACATCTCTTTGTATAAATATACCCTGTTGGTCCTGTTTCTCTGGAGAACCCTGAATGATGCAGTAGGTGTGGCAGAGAAGTGACACTGGCCCTAATCAGTGCATTCTAATAGGAGGTACATAATGTCAGTTTGTCTCGGTACTGAAGATACTGACCTTGATTACTTGGTTATATAGTCTAAGCCGTACGTGTTGGAAATTGAAACTAATAAAGCAAATGGCATCTTTACTGTGAAGTTACACAAATGTTCTTTTTGGTAAATACTAAGTAATTTTAGAGTGGTTTTTTTTTTTTCAGATTGTGTACATCTAGAGCTCTTTGTTAAAACTTTCCTTGCTAGTTTTGGCATCCATTGATTATTTTCAACTCCATCATTTCTTCCACGTTAGTTGAAATTTCACCATAAGCAAGAGCTTTCCCTTCTCCTCCATTAAGTAATTTAATCATTTATTGATAATATGTATAAATTTCTGTATCCTTATTTTTTTCTATAGTTATAATTGATATCTTATGGCAAGCTCACTTACTCATGAGAACCACGTTTAGGCAACTCTTCTTAAATCTGTGTGAATTGTCATAATGTTGGTAGCTTAAAATCAACCATAATGGAGTATTTACAATATAGAAATAGCAAATACTGCCAACCAGAGCTTCTTTATTTTTCCATTATGGAGAGCCAGTTTACTAGCATACCATAGTATATAATCCATTACTATCAATATTTATTTATTTATTTTTCTGTGACAGTCTTGCTCTGTCGCCCAGGCTGGAGTGCAGTGCTGCGATCTTGGCTCACTGCAAGCTCTGCCCCTCCAGGTTTTAAGCAATTCTCTGCCTCAGCCTCTGGAGTAGCTGGGATTACAGGTGCCCGCCACCACGCCCAGCTAATTTTTTTGTATTTTTAGTAGAGATGGGGTTTCACCATCTTGGCCAGGCTGGTCTTGAACTCCTGACTTCATGGTCCACATGCCTCGGCCTCCCAAAGTGCTGGGATTACAGGCGTGAGCCACCGCGCCCAACCCGATATTTATTTTTATGAGCAAAATGTTTGAGATTTGATCAGTAGGAACTCCATCAAACTGTATCCTATGTTATCTTGACATAGCTGCATCATTCATCATTCTTTGAGCGCTTTGTGATTTTCTGGCTCAATACGATGTTCTAGGATGATCTTGTACTTTCCCCATACTAGCTCTAAAATCATTTCTTATTCCAAGGAAATCTGTTTTCTTTTCATGGAGAATCATGTTTAGAAACCACAGTGAGTGCTAGTTCTTTGACAATGATTCCTAGGAGTGGAATTGCTGGGTCATAGTGTTTGAATAGATTTAGCTTTAAATGAGCAATTTTTTCCAAAAGTAGCTGTACCATATTCTCTCTTCTGGTCCATATAAAATAATAGGGACTGGATGTATCCTCAGATACTGAACAACAAGCTAAATTGGACAAAGTATGTGAAATGAGGGATTAAAACATTGGACAGCTGGTAGTACAGGTTGGTGATGCCTGAAAGAAAGAAAACAAGTAAGAATGATGATCTCTACTCATCAGATTACTGTCTAAAGGATAGGTATCTAAAGGCATCCTCAAGTACTAATGCAATATGGGAGCAGCAGAAGAGTTGAGCTGAGAGAATTCATCACCAGAAGACTGGGCTGAAGGCCTCACTGGGTTGAGGAGGAGATCAGAGTGCAAGATAAAGCACCTGAAAGGAGGGCACTGTACAGAGAGAAACCTTCAATGACATGCAAAGAGATCCCCAGAGTCTTTGCTGAACACTGACGTACATACATGTGTGAGGAAACAATCTGAGTCTGAGAAAAGAACCACCAAAGGAGAGAATGCTGAACAGCCTCTGTGGCTCACACAGGACTGTGAAGAGTTTGTATTCCCATCAGTCGGAGTGAAAAGACCTCATCACACATGGGGTTTCAAGTGGAATTCTCACAAGCTTATCAATAATAAATAAATAATAAAGTTATTTTAGCAGTGGGGCTAAATTACCCTGGGTAAAGACTTCTCTGAACGTACCTTAATGATGCTTAAAAACAAAGCTTTGAAAGGATTTAACTAGTGCAAAATAATTTAACTGCACACTAAAACAAGATCCAACATTTCTTAAAGGAATGTAACAAAACCCAGTACCTTGCAATGTAAAATGTAAAATGTCCAACATCCAATAAAAAATTACTTGGTATGTGTGATGGTTAATACTGAATGTCAACTTGATTGGATTGAAGGATGCAATATTGATCCTGGGTGTGTCTGTAAGGGTGTTGCCAAAGGAGATTAACATTTCAGTCAGTGGGCTTGGGACAGCAGTCCCATCCTTAATTGGGTGGGCACCATCTAATCAGCCACCTGGGAATATAAAGCAAGCAGAAAAATGGGAAGCAATGAGACTGGCCTAGCCTCCCAGCCTACATCTTTCTCCCTTGCTGGATGCTTCCTGCCCTAAAACACTGGACTCCAAGTTCTTCAGTTTTGGGACTCGGACTGGCTCTCGTTGCTCCTCAGTTTGCAGACAGCCTATTGTGGGCTCTTGTGATCATGTAAGTTAATACTTACTAAACTCCCCTTTATATAGATAGATATAGATATATATCTATAGATAGAGATAGAGATATATATCTATAGATAGAGATAGAGATAGAGATCTATAGATAGAGATATAGATCTATAGATAGAGATATAGATCTATAGATATAGAGATATAGATATAGATCTATATAGAGATATAGATATAGATCTATATAGAGATATAGATATAGATCTATATAGAGATATAGATATAGATCTATAGATATAGAGATATAGATATAGATCTATAGATATAGAGATATAGATATAGATCTATAGATATAGAGATATAGATATAGATCTATAGATATAGAGATATAGATATAGATCTATAGATAGAGATAGA
This sequence comes from Homo sapiens, assembly GCF_000001405.40. Classification (NCBI taxonomy): domain Eukaryota; kingdom Metazoa; phylum Chordata; class Mammalia; order Primates; family Hominidae; genus Homo; species Homo sapiens. The sequence continues at coordinate 9,146,217 of NC_000006.12, forward strand.
TATATCTATAGCTATGTATATTGATATATATATCTATAGCCATGTATATCTATAGATAGAGATAGATATAGATATAGATCTATAGATAGAGATAGAGATATATATCTATAGATAGAGATAGAGATATATATCTATAGATAGAGATATAGATCTATAGATAGAGATATAGATCTATAGATAGAGATAGATCTATAGATAGAGATATAGATCTATAGATATAGATATAGATATAGATCTATAGATAGAGATATGGATCTATAGATATAGAGATATAGATATGGATCTATAGATATAGAGATAGATCTATATAGAGATATAGATATAGATCTATAGATATAGAGATATAGATATAGATCTATAGATAGAGATAGATATATCTATAGCTATGTATATTGATATATATATCTATAGCCACGTATATCTATAGATAGAGATAGATATAGATCTATATCTATAGATAGAGATATAGATCTATATCTATAGATAGAGATAGATGTAGATATAGATACATATCCATCCTCTTAGTTCTGTCCCTCTAGAAAACTGACTAATACATATTTTGGTACAAGGAGTGGTTCCAGAGGAACAGAATATTAAGGATGGAGTTCTTTCATTGGTTTCGGGGTTTCTAGAGTTGGCTGCTTGATATGATTAGACCCAAAAATGCTAAGGACTGTACTTCCAATAGTATGGAGAACACTGATATTCCTTGGTGTGAACTGTTTAGAGAGTTATGCAAAATTAATGCATTTGACACTCCTAATTCACTGCTCACGAGAGGCAAGAAGTTTAGTGACTCTATACATAATACCTTTGACCATATATGGAGAACCAAAGAACATAATGAAGCTGGTTGGTTGCTCCTAACTTCAGTGGACAAAAGGATGAAAGAAGATGATGAACTTAGGGATTCTGTCTCCTGGCTTCAGAAGCAGATACTGAGCCTCAAATCTGCCAAGATTACCCTGAGTGAGAGTCTTATCTCCTGTAGAGAAAGAGCTGAAATTGTGGGAAAACAGACACAGCTCTTATCCTGCAAGTGGCTGACCTGCAACAAAAGGTGCATGCACAGCCTCGCCAGGTGTCTACTGTTAAAGTGAGGGCATTGATTGGAAGAGAATGGGACTCTGCAACTTGGAATGGGGATGTATGGGAGGACCTGATGAAGCTGGGGACACTGAGTTTGTAAACTCTGATGAAACTTTTTTGCCAGAAGGAACAGCTTTCCCATTCACAGTAATGACAACATCCCCTCCCCAACCCATGCTGCCATCAGCCTTTCCACCTTTTCTGAGGAGATAAACCCTGTGCTGCCTGAGGCAACAGTGATGACCTGCCCTGAGGCAGTTGCCAAGCAAGATAATGTTGTTTCTCCTTAGGAGCCACCCCCAACACCCCTGTTTGCTTCTAGACTTATAACTAGAATAAAGTCCCAGTGGGTCCCTAGAGGTGAGGTTGAGAGTATGATCCATGAGGAAGTGTGCTACACTCAAAGAAAATTGTTTGAGTTCTCTAATTTATATAAACAGAAATCTGGAGAACAGGCATGGGAATGGATATTAAGGGTATGGGATAATGGTGGAAAGAACAGAATTGGATCAGGCTGAATTTACCGATTTGGGTCCACTAAGAAAGAACTCTGTTATTAATTTTGCAGCTTGGGGAGTTTAAAAAGGTTCTAATAGTTTATTTGCTTGGTTAGCTGAAATATGAATTAAAAGATGGCCCACTGTGAGCAAGCTGGTAATGCCTGATCTCCCTTGGTTTAATGTAGAGGAAGGGATCCAAAGGCTTAGGGAGATTGGGATGGTGAAGTGGATTAGTCATCTTAGACCTACTCATCCCAGCTGGGAGGGTCCAGAAAATATACCCTTGACCAATGCCTTGCAAAATAGATTTGTAAGGGCAGCACCTGCATCTTTGATGACCCCTGTAATTGCTCTTCTCTGTATGTAAGATCTAACAGTGGGAAATGCAGCCGCTCAACTAGAAAATTTAAATACAATGGGAATAATTGGTTTCTGGGGTGGCAAAATTTAAATACAATGGGAACAATTGGTTCTGGCAGGGGCCAAGTGGCAGCACTCAACCATCAAAGGCCAGGTGGGTGTAACTACCGTAATGGACAGCAGAGGCAAAGCAGCAATCAGAATAGTCTGATTCATGTAGAGCTCTGGCATTGGGTAATTATTTATGGTGTTCCTAGAAGTGAAATTGATAGGAAGCTTACTGCATTCCTACTTAATTTATACAAGCAGAAAACTTTTAGGTCGAATGGACAAAAGACTAATTTGAATTATAAAAACAGAGAATCACAGACTCTCAATCAGCTTCCAGACTTGAGCCAGTTTACAGACCCAGAACCCCTTGAATAAGTGGGAGGCTGGGTCCCATTGAAGAAGGACTCCACTACATTACCCACAGTTTATGTGGTGAGTCTTCTGCCATCCTTCCCCAAGGAGACCTCCAGCCTTTTACCAGGGTAACTGTCACTGGGGAAAGGGAAATGATCAGACATTTCAGGGACTACTGGACACTGGCTGTGAGCAGACATTGATTCCAGGGGACCCAAAACATCATTGTGGTCCTCCAGTTAAAGTAGGGGCTTTTGGAGGTCAGGTAATTAATGGAGCTTTAGCTCAAGTTTGACTTAGAGTGGGTCCAGTGGGTCTCTGGACTCAACCTGTGGTCATTTCCCCAATGCATAATTGGCATAGACATACTTAACAACTGGCAGAACACCCACATTGGTTCCCTGGCTGGTAGGGTGATGGCTATTATGGTGGGAAAGACCAAATGGAAGCCAATAGAGCTGCCTCTACCTAGAAAAATAGGAAATCAAAAGCAATATCACATCCCTGGAGGGATTGCAGAGATTAGTGCCACCATAAAGGACTTGAAAGATGCAGGGGTGATGATTCCCACCACATCCTCATTCAAATCTCCTATTTGGCCTGTGCAGAAGACAGCTGGATCTTGGAGAATGACAGTGGATTATCGTAAGCTTAACCAAGTGGTGGCTCTAATTACAGCTGCTATGCCAGATGTGGTTTCATTGCTTATGCAAATTAACACATCTCCTGGTACCTGTTAGGCAGGCATTGACTTGGCAAATGCCTTTTTCTCCATTCCTGTCCATAAGGCCCACCAGAAGCAATTTGTCTTCAGCTGGAAAAGCCAGGAATATACCTTTACTGTCCTACCTCAGAGGTATATCAACTCTCCGGCTTTGTCTCATAATCTTATTCGGAGAGAACTTGATCACTTTTCACTTCTGGACGATATCACACTAGTCCGTTACATTGGTGATATTATGCTTATTGGATCCAGTAAGCAAGAAGTAGTAAACACACTGGACTTATTGGTGAGACATTTGCGTGCCAGAGGGTAGGAAATAAATCTGACGAAGATTCAGGGACCTTCTACCTCAGTAAAATTTCTAGGGATCCAGTGGTGTGAGGCCTGTTGAGGTATACTCCTTGTAAGGTGAAGGATAAGTTGCTGCATTTGGCTCCTCATACAACCAAGAAAGAGAAACAATGCCTAGTAGGCCTGTTTGGATTTGGGAGGCAACACATTCCTCATTTGGGTGTGTTACTCTGGCCCATTTATTGAGTGAACCAAAGGGCTGCCAGTTTTGAGTGGGGTCCAGAACAGTAGAAGGCTCTGCAATAGGTCCAGGCTGCTGTGCTAGCTGCTTTGCAACTTGGGCCATATGACCCAGCAGATTCAATGGTGCTTGAGGTGTCAGTGTCAGATAGGGATGCTGTTTGGCGCCTTTGGCGGGCACCCATAGGTGAATCACAACGGAGATCTCTAGGATTTTGGAGCAAGGTTCTGCCATATTCTGCAGATAACTACTTTCCTTTTGAGAGACAGCTCTTGGCCTGTTACTGGGCTTTGTTGGAAACTGACCGTTTGACTGTGGGTCATCAAGTCACCTTGCAACCTGAACTGCCTATCATGAACTGGGTACTTTCTGACCCATCTAGCCATAAAGTGGGTCATGTACACCAGCATTCCATCATCAAATGGAAGTGGTATATACGTGATCAGACTTGAGCAGGTCCTGAAGGCACAAGTAAGTTACATGAGGAAGTGGCACAAATGTCCATGGTCTCCACCCTGCCACCCTGACTTCTCTTCCCCAGCCTGCACCAATGGCCTCATGGGGAGTTCCCTATCATCAGTTGACAGAGGAAGAGAAGACTAGGGCCTGGTTCACAGATGATTCTGCATGATATGCAGGCACCCCCTAAATGTGGACAGCTATAGCACTACAGCCCCTTTCTAGGACATCCCTGACAGACAGCAGTGAAGGGAAATCTCAGTGGGCAGAACTTTGAGCAGTGCACCTGGTTGTGCACTTTGCATGGAAGGAAAAATGGCCAGACGTGCAATTATATACTGATTCATGGGCTGTAGCCAACGGTTTGGCTGGATGGTCAGGGACTTGGAAGAAGCATGATTGGAAAATTGATGACAAAGAAATTTGGGGAAGAGGTATGTGGAGGGACCTCTCTGAATGGTCAAAACCTGTGAAGATATTTGTATCCTATGTGAGTGCTCAATGACAGGTGACCTCAGTGGAGGAGGAGTTTAATAATCAAGTGGATAGGATGACCCTTCTGTGGACAGACACCACTCAGCTTCTTTCCCCAGCCACCCCTGTCATCACCCAATGGATACCCAT